>NC_000003.12:131887392-132038907 GCF_000001405.40 Homo sapiens
ATGTCTTTATCAGCAGCATGAAAACAGACTAATACAGAAATATTATTATGACATCTCTGAATCTCAGTTCTCTCATCTGTAGAATGGCAATGAAAATACTGACCTCAGTAGGCTGTATTGTGAGGAATCAGTGAAAAAACAAATGTAGGAGGGCTATGAAGATACTAGCTGTTTTTATTTCTTCTTCTTCTCTATTATTTCCAGAGGTGGTAGACTTCACTTTGTATTTTCTTCTTGTTGTACTTTTTCAGGCCATGCATTTCCTAAGTTTAATGTTCAGGGTAGAAAGTCCTTCCTTTTCAAGCCCTACATTTGCATCTTTCAAGCTTCTGAGAAAACTCCCTCAATAAGAATTGGAATGTAAATATGCCTATGTTCCTCTTATCCACATCCTTTAAACTAATTATAGAACCTATGACAATAAGATGGGCTCCTTAGTTAACTAATGTTTCCAGGTATAGTCCATGGTTTAACTATGTGGCAAAAAGTTGACACTCTTCTTATTAAGAAGGAGGGTCTATGTCCTTACCCTGAGAGATTGCCATGTAGGTAAGTTCACTTGTAGGTGCTCCAACTGGAAGTCCTAGCCTAACACTTGGGTGAAGATGCCTTCACACGATCTGAAACTCTGGCCAATAAATTATCCCCAGCCTTCTGGTCCTCTCAGCTGAGGTCCTAGACATTGTGGAACTGGAATAAGTAATCCACTGTGTTCTGCCTAAAATCCTGAAGCACAGAATCCATGAGCTTAATAAAATGGTTGCTTCAATTCAACCTATTACATTTCAGGGTAATTGTCACATAACAGTAGTAATTGGAAGAAACTAGATTAAGCAAATCTTCAATTGAGGTAGGCTAAAATATGCTCCCCAATTACAAATCCTAGTTTCTCCAGAATTCAGTTTGAAAAGACCAACATTGATCAAAGTAGGGGAAAAGGTAACAAAATTTTGTTCCTTTGATACACAGTTTCAAGACCATAATCTTTCAACAGGAACTAGTCTTTGGGTTAAAAAAAAAAAGTCTCTAGGACTAACTACTCCGACGAAAAGGAGCTCTTGAAATATAGTATTTGAAAACAGACTATCCAAGATAGGGAGTTGAACATTTCTGATCTTAAATCAAGATAAAATATTTAATTAGCCTATAAACTGACCCCAAGAACATCTGGAGTTTCCAGAAGGGAAGAATTTTCTTGTTACTTCTCTTCTAAAACTGACAAACAGTGGGGGACAACGTTGGCACAGAAGCAAAGATGGGAAGGGAAGGTTATCAGTATGGCTTCTCTGAGATTTCGAGTCCGTAGATTAGAGAACACAGACAAGTGGAATGAAGTTGCTCCAAGTCTATTTATCTTCTTCAAAATGCAGAGAGTGGAGGGGATAAGGAGACTTAGATAATTTCCCACTAGGAAAGTCGAAACAGATCAATCAAAGTGCTTAGTAAGAAACTTGGCAGACACTTAGAGAATTGTTAAATTTTCTTACTAAAATTTCTCTATTTTACAAAGATAAATGGACCCAAGAATACTTGGGTTGGCCAGCAGACCAAAAGCTTATCTCTGGCATTAAACATACCTCGACATAAGTATTATCTGATAATGTCTTTTACATACTGAGAACTAAGTGATCCACTACTCACATTAGTTTTACATGCATTATCTCCCTTTAATATAAAAGTATTGAATATCTATTAAGTGTTCACTATGCACCAGCTACTATATTAAGTAATTCATAAGCATCATCTCAATAGATCCTTATAATAAACCCATGGAATAAGTTCTATTGTTGTTACCTTCATTTTACTAATGATCAAATGCAGGCATAGGGAAGTTGAGACATTTACAAAAGGTCACATGGATAAGCCAAGCAGTGTGATTCCAGGGCTTATAGCATCAGCCCCTTCATTATCCTGTTAGCCAATTATTTAATCTTGACAACCATTCAGAGATGCAGTAATATAAAAGGCTCAGAGATGTTAAGTGGCTTTCCCAAGGTCACACAGTTAACCTGTGGTGAATCCCTGCCTTGTTTCCAAACTGACCTCAGATCAAGCCAGGCTGCTACAACAGCCTCCTAAGTCATTTAGCAAACTAATTTCAGGTTGAATGAAAGCCTGGTGGATCACACTACAAATAGTTAAGTTTCATTCTGAGATAAACCAGCCAAGAGTTTATTTTTCTTCTTATGCCACTTTCTGAATTTCAAATATTTTTTAGTAATGAAACCATATTTCCCCCTTCACAGAACCCCAAAATGTTTAATAGTTTTGAGTGGTATTTTAGTATAACTTGAAAGTTCTGTCATTTACTGTAATGTCAACCAATGGCAACACAATCTGAGAATTAGTGGCATCTTCACTTTAAAGGCATCTGTGCCTTTAAGTGTATGTGTTGTCACATTTACAGTTAGCTGATCTTCGATAAGGGTGCCAAGGACACACAATGGAGAAGGATAGTCTCTTCAATAAATGGTATTGGGAAAGCCAGATGTCCATGTGCAAAAGAATGAAATTGAGCTTTTATCTCACACCATAACAAAATCAACTAATAATGGATTAAAGACTTAAACATAAGACCTGAAACTGAAAAATTACTACAAGAAAATATAGAAAAAAATTATCAAAATTGATTTGTGCAATGTTTTTTAATATGACACCAAAAGCACAGGCACCAAAAGCAAACATAGACAAGTGAGATAGTGTCAAACCAAAAAGTTTATGCGCGACACAGAAAACAGTTAATAGACTGAAAAGGGAATCTATGATATGTGATAAAATATTTGTAAATCATATATCTAAAAAGAATTAATTTCTAAAATATATAATAAACTCATAAAACACAATAGTAAAAACACAAATAACCTGATTTTTTAAATGGGCAAAGGACCTGAATAGGCTTTTCTCCAAAGAAGACATAAAAATGGCCAACAGGTATATAAAAACGTGCTTAACATCACTCATCAGCAAGGAAATAAAAATTAAAATCACAATGAGATATCACCTCACTCCTGTAAGCATAGGCATTATTATTTTTTTTTTAGAAAAAAAAAACCTACCATTAGTGAGATTGTGGAGAAATTAGAACCCTTATACACTGTTGGTGGGAATATAAAACGCTGCAGCCATTATGGAAAACAGTATGGCGGTTCCTCAAAAAATTAAAAAGAAAACTACATCTTATTAATCAATCCCACTTTGGGGGTATATATTCAAAAGAACTGAAATCAGGCTCTTGAAGAAATACCTGTATTCTCATGTTCATTGCAACATTATTCACAATAGCCAAAATATGGAAACAATCCAAATGTTTATCAACAGATGAATAAGCAAAGAAAGTGTTGTATAAACATACAATGAAATATTACCTAGCATTGAAAAATAAGAAACATCTATTATTTGCATCTGGAAGACATTATGGAACAGAAAGATATGATGCTAAGTGAAATAAGCCAGTCACAGGACAAACACTGCATGATTCCTCTTATAAGAGACATCTAAAATAATCAGAAATACAGAAGTTGACAAAAGAATGATGGATACCCAGGGATGAGGAGGGGGCATACAGGAAGTTGTTGTTTAATAATTGCAAAATTACAGTAATTCCCAGAGATGTGCTGTACCACATAGTGCCTATAGTTAATAATAAGGTATTGTGTACTTAAATATTTATTAAGAGGACAGATCTCATGTTAAGGGTTCTTAGCAGAAAAACAAACAAACAAAAACCCAAAGAGACACAAGGAAACTTCTGAAGATGATGGATATATATATATTTTTTATCTGGATTGTGGTGATACCAGTATGAGTGCCCACACATATCCAAACTTGCCAAATTGTATACATTAATTTTATGAAGTTTTTTTTATAACAATTACACCTGAATAAAGCTGGAGAGAAATAAAATTTAGGTATGTGGGTTGTTTTCTGTTACATATTTTAAATATTAAAATATATTTTAGAAAATATTCTATAATTGGGATAGTGGTTGCACAGGTGTATACATTAATCAAAACTCATCAAGCTACGAGTTTTTTTTTTAAACTTTTGAGTTCAGGGGTACACATGCAGGTTTGTTACACAGGTAAACTTGTGTCATAGGGATTTGTTGTATGGATTATTTCATCACCCAGGTATTAAGCCTAGTACCCATTAGTTATTTTTCCTTATCCTCTCCCTCCTCCCACCTTTCACCCTCCAATAGCCCCCAGTGTATGTTGTTCCCTGCTATGTGTACATGTGTTCTCATTATTTAGCTCCCACCTGTAAGTGAGAACAGGTGGTATTTGGTTTCCTGTTCTGGTGTTAGTCTGCTAAGGATAATAGTCTCCAGCTTTATCCACGCTTCTGCAAAGGACATAACCTTATTCTTTTTATGGCTGCATCGTATTTCATAGTGTATATGTACCACATTTTCTTTATCCAGTCTATCATCAATGGGCATTTGATTACATGGCTTAAGCAAGACTGATGGCTGACTAGAATTACCTGGTGCTCATCTCACCTCCACAAAAAGAGACAAAAACAACCAATAAACAACTACTTTTCAACTAGAATAACTGAAGAAGTACACTGAAGGGCACCATGGGAATGGCAAAAAATCTCTGTGGAGTATGAAAGCCCAGGATAGGACCGTAGAGAGGGAGGCAAAGAGTCTCACCTCTGCCACACTGTCTCTCCTGCCAAGATTAGCTCAGAGTTCACGGGACTCCATCTTACAAGAAAAAAGGTAAGCTGGAGATCCCCAAACAGTCCCCACTGCCCCTATAAAAATCCTTGCTATAGGAGAGATTCTGAATCCTCACAGTTCCCAAATTCAGTTTGCAGAGTATCCAATATTTGCATAGCTGCATTGCCACCAATGTGGAAGCCAGCTTAACTACCTCTTACCCTCATGATCTAAGCTGCTACAGCTCGGTGCCACCTTGAAACCAGACCCAGAAATGCTATTCTTCAGAAATGAAGGGGAAATACAGACCTTTCCAGACAAGCAAATGTTGAGGGAATTCATCACCAGTAGACCAGCCTTACAAGAAATGCTTAAGGGCATGCTACAGCTAGAAATAAAAGAACAATAAGTACTATCATGAAAACACATGCAAGTATAAAACTCACCAGCAGAGGTCAATTTATAAATTAAACTCAGAATACCCCAGTGATATAATGGTGCTATATAAATCTCTTAATCCTCTACTATAAAGGTTTAAAGTCAAAATAGTCAAAAACAACAAAAGCTACATTTAGTGACTAAGGAACACATAATGGATTTTTTTAAAGGTAAATTAAGGCAACAAAAATATAAATGGAGGGCAGAGAAAAAAGTCTAGAGTATCTTTAGGCAACCAAACTTAAGTTGTGATCAGCTTAAAATCGTCTATTTTAACTACAAGACTCTTTGTATTAGCCCCATGGTAACTACAAAGAAAGAAATTACAGCAGATAAACAAATGAGAAAGAGAATGGAAATATAGCTTAGCACCACAGAAAACCAACAAACCAGATGAAACAATGACAGAGAAAGGAAGGAAGAAAGAATTTTAAAAAAATCAGAAAACAACTAAAAATAGTGGAAGTAACCCTTTATCCATTATTAACAACCTTGAATATAAATAGATTAAATTCTCCACTTAAAATGTATAGAGTGGCTGAATAGGTTAAAAGACAAAAAACAAGACCCAGCTACATGCTGCCTATAAGAGACTCACCTCATTTTTAAAGGCAAACATAGACTAAAAATGAAGGGATGAAAAAAGATATTCCATGCAGACAGAGACAAAAAGTGTGTAGCCATACTTATATCAGATAAAGTAGACTTTAAGTAGAAAACTGTAAAAAGAGACAAAGAAGAGCGTTATAATAAAGGAATCAATTCAACAAAGAATATAACAATTGTAAATATATAGGCACTCAATGCCAGAGCACCCAGATATATAAAGTAAATATTATTAGACCTAAAAGGAGAGGTAGTCAGCAATACAGTAATCGTAGGAGGCTTCAACACCCAACTTTCAATAATGTACAGGTCATCGAGACAAACAATTTGACAGATAAATATCAGACTTCTACTGCACAATAGACCAAATGGACCTAACAGACATTTGCAGAACATTTCATCCAATAGCTGAAGAATACACTTTATTCTCAAATTCACATGGAATGTTCTCCAGGATATATCACATGTTAGGCCATAAAACAAGCCTTAAGCATATAAAGATCACATCAAGTATCCTTTCTGATCACAATGTTATAAAACTAGAAACCAACAAGAAAAGCTTCAGAAACTGTACAAATACATGGAAATTAAACAGCACGCTCTTAAACAACCAATGGGTCAATGAAGAAATTAAAAAGGAAATTAAAATTTTTATTGGGATACATAAAAAAATGGAAATGCATCATACCAAAACCTGTGGAATGCAGCAAAATCAGTTCTAAAAGGGTCATTTATGGTAAGAAACATCAAAAAGGAAGAAAGATTTCCGATAAACAACCTAATAGTGCACCTCAAGAAACTTAGAGAAACAAGAACAAACTAAAGGCAAAATTGATAGAAGAAAAGAAATAATAAAGCTCAGAGCAGAAATAAACAATATATAGACTACAAAAAAAAGATTCAAAAGATCAGTGAAATGAAGTCACTTTTTTAAAAAGATAAAATTGACAAAACCTTTAGATAGTCTAAACTGTTATTAACAACCACACGACAACAAATTTGATAACATAGAAGAAATACATAAATTCCTGGACACATACAACCTACCTAGATTAAATTATGAAGAAACAGAAAATCTGAACAGACCAATAACAAGTGAAAAAATTGAGTGAGTAATAAAAAGACATTTATCAAAGAAAAGCTCAGGACCTGATGGCCTTACTGCTGAATCCTACCAAACATTTAAGAAGAATTAATACCAATTCTCCTCAAACTAGTCCAGAAAATTGACCTCAAAAGCACAAGAGAAAAAAGCAAATATATACAAATGGGATTACACCAAACTAAAAAGCTTTTGCACAGCAAAGGAAACTTTTAACAGAGTAAAGAGACAACTTACAGAATGGGGTAAAATATTTGCAAACCAGACACCTAACAAAGGGTTAATATTCATTCAGAATATATAAGGAACTTAACATTAAAAAAAATAACGTGATTTAAAAATGAACAAAGACTTAAATAGACATTTCTCAAAAGAAGACATACATATGATGAACCAGCAAATTTTTAAAATGTTCAATATTACTAATTATCAGGAAAATGTAAATGAAAACCACAATGAGATACCTCACCCAGTTAAAATGGCTATTATCAAGAAGACAAAGGAAAATAAGTGTTGGCAAGGATGTAAAGAAGAGGCAGCACTTACACGCTATTGGAGGGACTGTAAACTAGTACAGCCACTATGAAAAATAGTATGAAGTTTCTCAAAAAATTAAAAATAGAACTATTATATTATCCAGCAATCCCACTACCAAGCATATATCCAAAGAAAATGAAATCAGTATGTTGAAGAGATATCTGCACTCCCATGTTTACTGCAGTATTATTTATAATAGCCAAGATATTCAGTCAACCTAAATGTCCAACAACGAATGAATGGATAAGATAGTGTGATATATTTGCACAACAGAATACTATCTAGCCATAGAAAGGAGTGAAATCTTGTTATTTGCATCAACATGGATGAACCTGGAGAACTTCATATTAAGTGAAATAAGCCAGGCACAGAAAGACACTGTCTAATCTTACTTATATGTAGAATCTTTTTTTAAGAAAGTTGGTATCATAGAAGCAGAGAGTAGAACAGTGGATACCAGAGGCTGAGAAGGGGAGGAGAGAGGAGTGGATGAGATGTTGGTCAATGGGTACAAAGTTGCAGTTAGAAGGAATACCTTCTGGTGTTTTAATGCACAGTAGAGTGAAAATGGTTAACAGTAAAATGCTGTTTTTTACAAAATAACTAGAGGAGAGGCTTTTGAAAATTCTAACCACAAAATAAATGATAAATGCATGAGATGAAGCATATACTACTCTGACTGGATAATTATATAAAACATGAAATTGTCCCCCATCAATATATACAGTTACAATGTGTCAATTAAAAGTAATTTCTTAAAAATAACCATTCTACAAAATAATTTTACATTAATTTTTCATCTTGATCCTGAGTTAATTTTATTTTTTTTGTTTTTCATAAACTGAATATGAAAATTTATACTAACAAACTAAACTACAAGTTAATCCATTTGAAAAGAAAAACCTCATCAAGCTGAACATCTAAAATGAATGCATTTTGATATATTTTATATGTAAATCATCTCACTAAAGTTGATAAAAAGGAAGAAATTGTATTTATATTTCAAACAAATAATTGCAGTACCTCTGAAGTAATTAGGCTACCTCAGGACACAATTTGGAAACCTTGAAATTCAAGCTAACATTTGGTGAATCAGATTGGAGAAGCTGAGAACTGTTTGTGTCCCAAGGTTCAAATAAACAATGAAAAACTTCAATCCTCCTTCCAGGAATTTCAATGGCTAAAAAACTTATCTAATCCCCGGCCAGGGGATCACGCCTATAATCCCAGTGGAGGCCAAGGTGGGCGGATCACTTTAAGAATGTTCCTACTCTTTATCATGATAATTTTACTTCTAGGAAAAAAAAAAATCTCAAATACAGGGTGATTGGGGCCAGATGTCCCTTATATATAAGAAATTTATCCTGTAATTATTCATAATAGCAAAGCTTTGAAAATTCATATCCAATAATGGAAAGCTGGTTCAACCAACTGTGGTAGATTTTGTATGTGAAATATTATACAATCATTTAAAATGAGGTTTATGACTAATTTTGATAATATACATATATATACACATATATTCTTTATTATGAAATGATAAAAAGGGCAGCATACAAACTGTAGCTATTGTATGGGCTTCACTCCGATTACTATCATAGCATCACAACAAACACAAATCCTATGTTTAACAGATATTCTTTAAACCAATACTATTAAATGAAACCAAACTAATAGCACAAACCTGGGAGATTTAAGTAACACAAAAGATGAGAAATTGAAGTGCAAACAATGTACATCCCCTACAAACCACAAAGGTGAACTCTAATAGGGAAAATATGTATGTAAAGAGTAAAAAAAATAATTGCACAAGTATCAAATAGCAAAATCTTGTCTTGGCACAGTTTGCACAGAAAGTATCTGAGTTTTAATTGATCACAAACCACATGACCATTCTTAATGGAGTTATAGAAGGTATTAACAGAAGTGAAGAGTGCAGGTCCCTGATGTCATTGCTCCACTATCTTCTCCCTTGATGAAATCCTCCATTGTACTTGATACCTCCTGGTGCCACATTTTAAGAGGCATGGATGCCTTACCTTATTTCACCATCCTGAGATCAGGGACCATCAGCACCATGACCTTTATTTACCTTATGATCTTAGACATTAAGCATAATTTTTCTCTACAAAATGCTCAGGAATACTTGCTCTAAAATCCATGGCCAGAAAAATGAGTGTTTAATTTTGGGAATGATTAAGAGTTTGGTTTAAAGACAGGCTTAATAGAAGTAAATGCTGGATACAAAAGAAGGCAGATTCCTAACGGGCAGGAATATCAATACCACGTACTCCAGATTAACATGAAACACATGGTTTTAGATGAGGACATTGATGAAAGGAATAATTTGGATGCCTAGAACCAAAGGAGAGAAAAACATTAATTTTATAGACTAGTGGTAATTCGTTGGGTTATTCTGCCTCCACAGAGAACTGGATGAGAGAGGTGCAGTGTCATGAAGACAACATGGGTATTGGAGACACAAAGATCTGAGTTCAAATCCTAATCCCACTTCTCACTAGTCTCGTGACCTGAACATATACATTTCCTATGTGAATGTCAGTTTTCTCACCTGTAGAGTGGGTTATCACAGTCCCTATCTTATAATACTGTCATGAGGATTATATGAATATGCATGTAATGACTTAGCATATGGTGCATAGCAAACAGTCTGGTACTCATTATTCTGAGAGGAAGACAGTGAAGGATAGCAGGAGGACAGTTTTGAAGTCAGACAGTCTGGGTTCAATTTGTCATTGCTCCTTCACTTACCACTTGTGTGACCTGGGGCAAGTTACTTAACACCTCTGTGCCTCTACACTATATACAATTTTTTTTGTCTACTATACCTCAATAAAAATAGAAAAAAATAGGCTGGACACAGTGGCTCACACCTGTAATCCCAGCACTTTGGGAGGCCAAGGCAGGAGGATTGCTCAAGGCCAGGAGTTTGAGACCAGCTAAGCAATATATCAAGATCCCATCTCTATGAAAAATAAAATTAGCCAGGTGTGGTGGCATGTGCCTATAGTCCTAGCTAGTTGGGAGGTTGAGGTAGGAAGATTCTTTGATCCCAGGAATTTGAGACTGCAGTGAGCTATGATTGCACCACTGCACTCCAACCTGGGCAACAGAGAGAGAGACTCTGTCTCTTAAAGAAAAAAAAAGAGGATGGAAAAAATAAAATAAAATATAGATGAGCCCAATTTGCAAGATAGTTTTGATAATTAAATATGACAATATATATAAAGTGCTTAGGAGAGTACCTGATACATTGTTTAAGTACTCTCAATATATTTAAGGTATTATAAATAAATCATCATTGTCATTAATAAAGAGATAAAATAGATTGAAATTACAAAGGAAATATGACTTTTAAGGAGATAATTATCAATAGTGAGTCTAGTTAAACATGCAAATAGGCACTCAGGAAAAGTGTCAAAAATACCTCCTTTGAAATGTTGAAGGTGATTCAATCTAGAGGCAGAAGACTCCTAATTGTACATGCCCTCTCAAACTCTTTCTCCAATCTGTAATTCCATCTTTCAAATGACCAGCATGGGTCTCAAGGTACACTATAAAAACTGCTGGGGACCAATGCTCCACTTGAATGCCCAGAATGTGGCTTGCCAGTTCTTCAGCCTAAGGATGGGAGTAAGGCTAATGTCATGTTTTACTCTGTGCAGGAAGCCAGATGTTATTCCTCTGGCTGATGAAATTATCTTCAGGGCATACAAAAGAATTAATTAAGAGGCAACACAGATTTCAATTCAAATACTTTTTGCTCATCTGTAACCTGAATTTCCCTTCTTGTGTAATTCTGTTCTCAGACATTATGACACTGAAAATGTTGAGATTTTACTTATAAGGAATCCAATTAGTCACATATGCAATCCAGTAATCTTATTTTCCTGTATCTAAGTGCATCACTTAAAAGTTGAACATCATGGAACCATCAGCCTCTGGTCACAGGCACATGACCCCAGGCAACAAGGAGAAAATATTATCTGGCTGTAATATTTGATTTTGTTTTCTTTTATATTCAATACTCAGGGTAAGATTTCTAATATCACCAAGATCAGCTTTCTTTTTCTTTTTTGTTTTTTTAAAAAATTATTCTTATTAAGGATGTGTTAAGGGGGAGGTATAAAGCAACATCAAAGTTTTCCCAAATGGGAGTCTGATGCAAAATCACAGTGCAAACTTTGTGAACAAGTGAAGAAAACTGTCGTTTTTTTATCATCTGTCATGCTGGGTGTTACCCATCCAAACCTTGCAAGTCAACAAAGTGTGAACAGAAAATCTTTTGAGAAAGAAGCTTGTCTGTGATATCCAGAGGGAATGTTTTAATTGACTTAATTTTCATTTTCTAGCTCTCGTCTATGTCCACAACTGGGAAGTTAACAGTGTTCAGGGACCTAGTCAAGTGAGTGTGGGAGTGTAGTCTAAACTCAAACGCCTCCAGGGGCCACTTTTGTAGGGCAAGTGAGTGAAGCAGGCTGGCTAGCAGGAGGCACAAGCACGAACCTCGTATTTTGTTAAGGAGGGAAGATGCTAATTATCACCAGCTCATTGTTGCCATAGGATTAAAGACCCCACATTGCCAGATTTTCTGGTTGCTTGGAAGAAACCAGAAATCTGGAGTTTTATGAAAAATCTCATGATCTTTGAGTTACGGCAATTACTACAAAGCTTGTTAGAACACTGTGAAAACCAGACAAAATATGTCTGCAGACAACAGAAAGGCCACCAGATTCAAGTTTGCAACCTTTGAAAAAGCAGAAATAACATGGGCTTTGGAAGCAACCAGATTCCAGCTTTACTGTTTACTAATTGTATGACCCTGGGCGATGTATTAATTCTCAAGCCTTAGCTATCTTTTCTAGTTAGTAAAGCTTTTATTGCAGAGTAATTGTGAGGATAGAATATACGTAAATTAACTAATACATAACTGGCATCAACACAGATTGATGGCTACTTTAATTCATCACATAAATGTTAATATTGCTTGTCCCATTTTCATAAAAGTTCTAGGCTTTGGAGCAATGGAAAATTGAATATCTTAGGTATAGGTAAAATTGTTATTTTGAGTTTTATCCTCATGGTTTAATACATGAAAGGGTGCTGGCCCACTATTATCCCAAGCATGAGAGAAACCTGTTTTGTTGACTTCTTCCACAAGCCCTCTAGCCAAGAAAATTCCACAGCCCACTTCTCTGGGCAAGCTCAACAACATGGGCACACATTATCCCTTCTGTGCTGCTAACAGGGATGCTAGGTCATATGGTGACCAAACCCTACATCTGGGTAGGTGGAGTGGGGAGGGGGAAGAGAAAATGAAAAACAGTGGAGGGATCGGAATTAATCACCAGAATTATAAGGAGTTTAAACAACTCTACAGGAAAAAAAATCTAATAATCTCATCAAAAAATAGGTGAAAGATATGAATAGATACTTCTCAGAAGAAGACATACAAATGGCAAACAGGCATATGAAAAGGTGCTCAACATCACTGATCATCAGAAAAATGCAAATCAAAACTACAATGAGATATCATTTCATTCCAGTTAAAATGGCTTGTATCCAAAGACAGGCAATAACAAATGGTGGTGAGTATGTGGAGAAAAGGGAACCCTTGTACACTGTTGGTGGGGATGTAAATTAGTACAACCACCACTATGGCATGATTTATTTTAGGCCCCCTCCACATAAAGGTAACCTAGGCACCCTTGAGATGGTCTTCCTACCACACATTCAGGGAAAGAAAAAGATTTAAGTCAAGATTTCATGTAGTGTCCTCTTTCTCAAGGTCACACGACTGTCTGAGACCCCAGCTCTCTGTCTCTAAGATAGGGTGAGATTACTGGACACTGAGGTCTTTGAGGACACAAGCCATAGTGCTCAATACATGCTGGGGTTAAATAGCTGTGTTGCTTTTTCACAGAGCTATTATCAGCAGGAAATAACATAAGTGGATGGATATTGTGAATATAAAACACTATATGGATATATTATTACTACAAACAATAATCTTGTAGTAGAGTCCACTGATAATTGATGTGTTACATATAACCGCACAAATCGTCACTAACAATAATTACCAACAACTCACCAAAGCCCATGGTTCATCATAACATGCTTCCATATGGAATTGATCCAAAGGTAGGTAGTTTTCAGAATTACTTAGAGCTTCCAAGAAAGATCTCAATGATTGTGTATTAAAATTCAATGAAAAAATTGAATTAATGGTGATTGAAGCAACCACCTAGAAGTTTGGAGTATAATTTGGGTGTTCCCAATGAGAACAAGTACTCCTCCAATCATAGGGTCACTGCCAAGGGCCACACACTCACGAGCTTGATTCTACCCAGGCATGCCCAGGAATAGAGCATATGCTCCAGTGAACTGAATATAAGTCTTTAGTTCATAAGAGTCCTTGCCTTCTGACTGTCTAAGAAGTGTTTGTTTGTACCACTTGATTATGATGCTTAGTTCCAGGAGCTAGTGAACACATCAGGACTCACCAGAAAGCAGGAAGATATTATTTCCACTCCTCGATGGAAGATGGAAAGCATTCTAAATTATCATTACACTTAACTGTCACCATATATTGCCATCATTACATAGCCAGGAGTTGATGAAGAGGGATTTTTTTAAAGGATATGATCCTAAATTAGGAAAATGAAAGGGTATGAAATGAAACTCTCAGTTTGTAATGTATTTCAAAGTCAAGTTTTTTTTCTTCCCTCTTTTCTGTCAATAAAAATCATGGCCATTATTAAAGATTTACTGTAAGTTTTCACCTAATGAAAATATTTCCGGCCAGGCATGATGGCTCACACCTGTAATTCCAGCACTTTGGGAGGCTGAGGCAGGTTGGAGGACCCATCTGGTAGGAGTAGGAGAAATAGAGGAGTTGCAGGCAGGGCTGGAAATGTTGCCTAGAAGAGTCCTCCGACCATGATCCAGCTTCTGCTGGATGGCCCAGCTGTTTGGTTCTGGGACTACCATCTTCTCCTTTTGTCCCTGTCACCCAGAGGAGTGCTGGCTCCCTTAGAGGGTTGGGGAAAGGAGAGAACCCTTAATTTGAAACATTTGCCAGTGTCTGTGGTGTAAATACTCCCTGACTTGCAAAATTCCTGAATATTTAACAGTGTGCTCTCAGGAGACTATATAAGCTGACTCCAACACATGACTGCTCCAGCCCTAAGCAGAGTTCCTGTTGTTCATCCCTGGGTTTCTTCACAGCCCCTATTTAGGTTTTCAGTATTTGCAGCTTCTTTGTTACTAATTATCTAATTATTTCTCTTAGCCACCTGGCATGCACTTTGGTTTTATTATTATTATTATTATTATATCCTTACTGTATATTGTTAAGAGAGCAAAATTTGCTAAACTGCTTCTAGAAGTACCACAATATCAATGAACCATATGATTAAGCATGCTAGCAATTAAGCTGATATTAATGGTTATAGAGTGAGACTTTCTAGGTAAAGGAAGCCGTGAATCAATTTACACTGTGGCACAAGGTTCTTATCACTGTGCACGGGTGGCAAAGTTTGTGGTAGCTGTGTGCTATAGTTTAATAGGACGCTTTGGAAAAATTATTTGACAATATGTATCAAAAGCCTCAAAAGCTTCCTATTATTTGTCCCACCAGTTCTACTTAACAGAATCTATTGTAGGAACTCATCCAAAAAGAAGGGAAAATCCTCAAGCACAAAGATGTTTATTGCAGTATTACTTAAAATAGGGTATATCTGGAAGGAATTTCAAAGTGAAAAAATTGATGAATTTAAATCCAGTTGATGGGATATTATGCAGCTTTGAAATTACAATGATCAATATTGTAGCAATGTGAGGAAAAGCACATACTACTAAGCAATAAAATTAGGAAAGAAAATTTTACAAGCATGATAATAATCATATGAGAATATGCATGCCAGAAGAAAAAGACTAAAATAAATATGTACAAATAATAGTTGAATTATGTTAACGGGTTAGAAGTAGATGGATTTCTTGCCTGTAATTTCCAAGGAGTTACTTTTTTATAATGTAGGCATTCCATTTAGTTTTGTTAAATAAAAAATAATGAGACTAACAAAGTCAATGAGAATATTTAGAAGGGAAAAAAAAGATACTATGTATTAAGACACCCATGAATACTGTTTTATATTTACATTCTAAGCCTTCGATAGGCCTGAAGTTAAATTAAGATTCCCCAATCTGCCTATCAGCATTCATTTTCTGTGTATGTTGACTCCTCACCTAAATTTCACCTGCTCACTAACTGCTATCAAGCCTTTCTTTCAGAGAAGTGGCTGATATCACATATCTACATACAATTAAACATGCTGACTCTCGGGTCTTTTGAACCTTCTTTCTCCTATAGAGTGGAAGACTGTCTCTTAGAGGGACACCTTCCGGCTGCTTATAAACAGGTGAGCATAGTATTGAAGGCTTAAAGAATTTGGTCCAAGGGATCCAAAACAGGTCTATTTGTGCTCTGATCAGCATGGCTTCAAATCCCTTATTCTGAGTACTTTATTTTCTTAGAATAAGAACTGCTTCCTCTGCTACATCCTCTTCTCCTCCCTATTTCTCCATTCACATCAGCTAGATCTTTAAAAACAAGGCTTACTTAGACTAGGTACCTAGATGCAAAAAAGGAAAAAAAAAACAGACAAACTTAAAATCAGTCCTTATCCAATTTGTTTGGATTTTTAAATAAACAAAAAAAACCTAGCTGCGGAATTCAACCTAAAATATTGCCACACAAACCACCAAAGACTGATACCAGTGTCCAGCACAATTATAAAATAGCAATAAAGATCTCAGTTTCTGGAGCTCCAATGTATGGGTTTAAATATTAGCTTTTCCACTTACAAGCTGACTGCTCTTGGGAAAATCCTTAATCTTTTTGTCTTTCCATTTCCTTGCCTGTAAAATGGGGATAATATCTCATAGAATTTTTGAAAGAACTAAACTGGTAATTTAGTGCCAGACTAGTGCCTGGCACTTAAAAAGTACCCAGTAAAGTTTAGGTCATATTGTTTCAAGTTCTTGCTCCAAAAAATAAATATTTCATGATGTGTCCCCTTGTTCTTCCCCAGGTACCACCATTAGTCAGAGAAACATCTCGCCAAGTGTAGCACAGTTGATACAAAGAACCCCACTGTTTTTCCTAGAGCTTCTCTCCACTGGGTCCGTGATCAGTTAGAGTCTAGCAGGCACAAAAATGAATAAATCCTTCCCAGAATAAACTTTTTGTAAAAACCCAAGTCATCTCTTAACAACGTGGGGGCCCATCGCTCTTTGAAGAATGACTCACAGAAATGTCATTCCATTCACACCACTGCCAAAGGAGCAGCTGCCTTGCACAAGCACAGCAAACAGTGTGTGTTAGGAAACATTCCAAGTGGATATTTTACACATGAGTCTTGGGGGATGTCTGAATGTGGTTTTGCTACCTTCCAAAGCTGGTTAAAACTGCATGCTGGCCTTATGAGCTTGTAGGCCCCCAGCCCGTTCCTCCTATTTCTGCCATCCCCATCTCCTTACTTCTGAATCTACTCATGATTTCCACATGCAGGATTCATCTTTCTCCAGTCCTCAACCAACTCAGACTGAGGTAACCATCCCACTCAGCCCCATAAACCCATGCGGCTTAGAACGAGTCACTTCTTCAGTCCTGAAGACTGGGTTTAATTATCGTTGTTGGGTTCCCACGTGGCTCTCTTGGGTCCACAACAAGAGTTTATGTTTCTCTATAGATCTACGATTTGTCCTGGGTCAGCTCTGTCCAACAGTCACCCTGTTTTGGGCTTGGTCAGAGAACTGGACTTCAGTCTTTGTCCCTACTCCTCAGTTCTGGCCAGTTACCCTGGATAGTAAGTAGCCCAGCCCAGCTCCCAAAAGTGGAGTTTGCCCCTCTACTGCAGACAGAGATTTCATGGGACTGACTTGCTCATACCTGTCCTCTTGGTTCCCTCTTTCAATTCGGGACCTATGGATAGGACTGTCATCTACTGAGCTCATTCCATCTGAGTAGTCACTTCTCTCTCAACCCCCTAAAACCTGTTTCCTCAAAGCTACCATTCCCAAAATTCTTATTAAGTCTAATCTGAACTCTGCCTTGGCCACAAGACTTTGTCTCTGGAACCAGTTTTTGGAACTTTCTCACCCCGGCCCAGTCTGGGGTCTGGGTTCACGTCTGTTCCTGGTCCTCTTGCTACCTGTGTGTTGCCAATGAGTAGGCATGGGATGAAGAGTATATTGTGAGTATTTCTTGGTAATTAACAAAAACACCTAAAAAGTCTTAGGCTCATGAATTAAGGGTAAATGTCAAAATATCCACAACATCAAAACAGCAACATCAAAACATCATGATAGAAATGTGATCATATTCACTTCTCAAATTTCTTATTTCATCAAAATAAACCACCTGAAGATATAAAATATCAAAACATTTTTGAGCCAATCATCCAGCCATGGTTCTGTCCATTTCATTGGACATGCCTACCTCAAACCACTGCCCATGAGACTGCATCTTGAGGATGACACAGGGGTCTGGTTTGGAAAGGGCATCTCTGTCAGAAATGCCTTTGCACGCCACACGCAGCTCAACTTTGGTCAGGCAGGGGCTGTTAAAGATTCCCAGTGTGTTGGCAGCGGACTCATAAATGTTGCTCATCTTCTTCATTCTGTTTTAGGCAAGTAAAAGAATAAAAAAGAAGTGCCAATCACTGCAATATTTGTCAAAGGAGAAAGCCTCCCAATCACCCTTCAGAAAATTGTTTGACACACAGTTTCAAACATTGAAGGTATTTATCTCACTTTCCAACCCAGTGACACAGTTCCAGTGAAACAAATCAAAGGAAACAAACAAACAAAAAACAGGTGCTGCTGCACTTGGTTAAGAACACTACTTTCTTGTATGATTTGCATACATTTGCATAGTAAAATTTTTAGCCTGTGAAATAAAATTAATGAATTAGTTCAATAGGCTGCAAACTGTAATCCAGCTCTTCAATAAGTGTATGGCTTGTGTGAAATTGTACAGATTTGTTGGTTCATCAATTTAATCACATCTCAAGTTTTCAAGACTAAAAATCCAACTCAACTCCTATGTGATGGCATGGAGAAGTATATTGTTCTTTCTGAAGAAACAGCCATATTTCCCACCCCTAAAACTTTGCCCTCTTCTCAAAATGCTCTCAGCAAGCCAGCTCCAAGACAGAGGCCCAGCATCTGAATCCCTGTGCCCAAATGCACTAGCCCATTCTCACCTTTCCCTTTCCCACTCCCACCTGCCATATCAGAATTCAGAATCAAAAGGGGGAAAGTGATGGGGAGGAAAAGCACAAAGCTTCCTATTCTGAACTTGTGGAAACAGCAGCTACATTTAAGCACTGCAGGCCCCCTGCCCATTTCCATGTGATATCCTTTATTTTATTTTTTGTTTTTTTTTGTTGTTGTTGTTTTGTTTTGTTTTATTTTGTTTTTGTTTTTTTGTTTTATTATTATTATACTTTAAGTTTTAGGGTACATGGGCACAATGTGCAGGTTAGTTACATATGTATACATGTGCCATGCCGCTGTGCTGCACCCATTAACTCATCATTTAGCATTAGGTATATCTCCTAATGCTATCCCTCCCCCCCTCCCCCCACCCCACAACAGTCCCCAGAGTATGATGTTGCCCTTCCTGTGTCCATGTGTTCTCATTGTTCAGTTCCCACCTGAGTGAGAACACGCGGTGTTTGGTTTTTTGTTCTTGCGATAGTTTACTGAGAATGATGGTTTCCAGCTTCATCCATGTCCCTACAAAGGACATGAACTCATCATTTTTTATGGCTGCATAGTATTCCATGGTGTGTATGTGCCACATTTTCTTAATCCAGTCTATCATTGTTGGACATTTGGGTTGTTTCCAAGTCTTTGCTATCGTGAATAGTGCCGCAATAAACATACGTGTGCATGTGTCTTTATAGCAGCATGATTTATAGTCCTTTGGGTATATACCCAGTAATGGGATGGCTGGGTCAAATGGTATTTCCAGTTCTAGATCCCTGAGGAATCGCCACACTGACTTCCACAATGGTTGAACTAGTTTACAGTCCCACCAACAGTGTAAAAGTGTTCCTATTTCTCCACATCCTCTCCAGCACCTGTTGTTTCCTGACTTTTTAATGATTGCCATTCTAACTGGTGTGAGATGGTATCTCATTGTGGTTTTGATCTACAATGAACTCAAACAAATTTACAAGAAAAAAACAAACAACCCCATCAAAAAGGGGGGGAAGGACCTGAACAGACACTTCTCAAAAGAAGACATTTATGCAGCCAAAAAACACATGAAGAAATGCTCTCCATGTGATATCCTTTATAATAACACTTTGCATCCCAGAGCCCCAGTGATCCACCAGAGGCCATCAGTGCTCTCCTTCTCTGAAGACGACTGAACGTATAAGATTCTCTTAGGAGCAAAATTCAATACCTTGCTTATGGAATTCTGTTTCTTTGTAGATTCATTAGGGAAAATGACAATGGCTTCCTCAACCTCACATGGCACTGGTGCTCTGCAGTGGAATTTCTTCATCTATAAAATGGGAATAATTCCTCTCTCTCTCCTTCCCTTCTTCCACAAATATTTAGTGAGCTTCCCCTTGGTACCAGCACTACACCAGGTTTAACTGAGTACAGCATGCCACCTCTTTTACAGGATGATGGCTATGCCTCAGCATTACGCATCACACAGACACACACACACACACACTCAATCACACCAATAGCATTTTATTGGAACACAGGCATGCTTATTCATTTATGTATTTATGTATTTCACACACAAGCACACACACTCACTCCTGCACACCAATAGCGTTTTATTGGAACACAGGCATGCTTATTCATTTATATATTTATGTATTTATCTGCGGTTGCTTTCACTACAATGGCAGAACTGAGTAGTTGCAATAGAGATTGCAAGTACCACAAAGCCTAAAATATTTATTATGTGGCCCTCTTCAGAAAATGTTTACCAACCTCAGTTCCCTTAGGTAAAAGGAACCTCAGTTCCCTTAGGTTAGGGAAATTTGTAGTTTTGGAGAGTTGCAATTCTGGTTTTAATATGTGTTGGGAAATTAGTTTTAGGATGAGAACTGCTCTATCTTCTACCAAAGTGAACATTAATAGGGACTTTGGGACATTTGTTTTTTACAGATGAAAAAATTCAAGCTCAGAGAGGATTGGCAGCTTGCCCATATTATGCAATTATTCTAATGGCAGAGCTGGGGCTGGAGTACCAGTTTTCTATCAGCCAGCCCAAAGCTATTTTTACCACAGGTAAAACCTTTAGCTGGAGAACTGTTCAAATGTACCAAGGAACAGTGGATACAACAAATATCCTTGATTTATTTCAACCTCCGTACAGAGTCATACATCCCTTCTACTTGTAAATAAATTCTATTCAAATACAGAAAATGCACAGATTATAAGTCTATAGCTTCATAAACCATTTTCCTTCTATTTTTACAAGTTGTGAGCAGATCAGTCACTACAGCAACATAGGTGACAGAGTATACAGAAAATGAAATTTACAACAAAGCAAAGGGAGAAAAAGAATCAGCTGGTGGAAAGATGGCTTTGTGTTCAGACAGGTTTGTAAGTGTGTTACAAACTCTCTTTATCAACTGATAAGAACAGCTTATTCTTCAATCAATATCTTCCTGAATTCCGCTTTTCCCAATGCATTAACTGGCTCCTTGGAATCTACACTCCTCTTCTGCAGCTTTCACTGGCCTCTCCTATCTCCAAGAGCCATCACTGTCCTTCTAACTTTCCCTATCCTTATAGGCTCATGCCAAGTCCATCTCTTCCAAATCCACTGTTTTAATATGTGTTAGGAAATACATATTGTATTTTTACATACATATTGTACATAAAATACTATGCAAGCTACGATAGAATGGGACATCTCTAATATCAGTCTTGATTGTGAGGTATAATGCAAAAAGACTCTGTCAAGGAGACACATAATTCCCGATTCAAATCCTGACTCCTCCATTCACTGACCATGTATCCTTGGGCAGGGTATTTAACGTCTCAGATGGTAATATCTATCTTGAAGAGGTGCTGTAAAGAGCAGATTAAATAATATATGTAATGTGATTACCACAATACCAGGTATATTGTGGATGCTCTGATAGTGGTAGCTATTGTTATTGTGCTCTGACTTATCTCCAGATAAAATCATTCATGCTTTCACTACCAACTGAAAAACTCTTAGATGTCTCACTATTAAGACCAAACTTCTATAAGCCCATTTAAATGTCTTCTGTATTTACAACCTGTACAATCTGAGCATACTACCCTCCATCTAAGAGCACACACTCATCTTTTAAATCAGTTTATCTGTGGATTCATACACATGAGCCAATAACTCTCACAGGTTCACAAGTCAGACAGTAAAACAATGGTGACAGCTCTTCTAATATTGTGAAGCTGCTTTATTAACTTCCTGGGATAGACAATTTATTCTTCAATCAGTGTTCTTTCCAAAGCATCAGCTGGCTCTATGGGAATCCTATACTCAATAAAAGCCCTCTCTTGGTCCATATAAAAGATAGTCACATGTTATGTGCAATTCACAAGGCATCTGATGGGAATGACAGGATTTCCACAATGCAGAGGGGTCAATTGTCTCATCCTCCCTCATTTATTCATTTCCAGGTTGTTACAACAGTTTTGGTTCACATGGGCCTGGTTAAATGAATTTCAGATGATGATATTTAGTTTTAACTATCCCTACCTCTCCAATGGATTACTGCAAAGAAATCTTATTGAATGTAAAAAAAAATAATGTAGGCAACCAAACACCACGAAATAGCAGAGGTGACACATTTTTCTCCTAGTCTGAGGTTCTCGTTGGCCATCATACTTGCTTATAATAGTGGCAATCTTATACATGTGTCAATAGTTGCCCAAGATAATTAAAAATTATCAAGGCTTCTTGAAATATGGATTGATACATGCAATCACTGATAGGATATTCTATATCAAGTGTATGTAGTTCTTGCTCTGAATTATTAGTTAATGATAGTAAATTTAAGTAATTTATAAAAGAATAAACATATAAACTGGAGGCACATGTTTAGAGTTTTTTAAATCATGGAATAAATGATTCAGAAATTTTATGGATCACTTCTTTAAGCAACGGGAAACAGAGGATTTGAAGCTGGGAAATGGGCATAATCAAATAAATATTTGATAAAGATCAGTCTAGTACTAATATGATGGTTGGACTGCAGGAGAGAAAAAACATTTGTGATCATATGAGGCTGTTTTGCTGCTCACTTCTATTCCTCCTTTTCCCATTGATTCTACTTTCTTCCCTCTGCTCAGGGCCCTAAAAGGCTTACCTCCATTGACTGCCAGCACACTGTTGGCAAGTGTTATGTTGGGTTTCACTAAAGGGATGCAGTTCTGGGGAAGGGGGGAGAAAGAGAACAGCATATTTCTTCCGAACTCCTACCCTGATCTTTAGCAGTAGCCATGCAAATGACCATAGCTCTATCTGCAAGCCTTCAGATATCACTGGCCTTAGTAACAACACTGTTTCCTCTCCTTACCCCTTCAGGCTTATGGGTTGTAATGTTTTCCTGCCAGTCTTAAGGTGGGCATCCTAGAAGCAAAGCCTGAAACAGGGATTCAGATGCACTTGATTTCCTTACCTCAGAGGAGAGGAGAGAAGAAAAGTGCAGGAAGCAAAGAAGTGGTCTCAGCTGGAGTACAGCTTCAATCTGATTCCATGGGGGCTCTGGGACATGAATTGTACCCTTAAGGAAAGAGGTTCAGCCTATTTAACTCCATGTGAGAAAGTCATGCTAGGGATGAGGGGGCATGAACTCTTAGATTTGCTGCTTCCTCCCCTTGGCTGAAAGCAATCAGGCATTCCCAAGAAAAGAGGCAGCCATGAGCCATTATCAGTCAACACTTGGAAGTCCTTGAGGGAGGGATGCACTTACTGGATAAAGGGCATGTAGGCAGAATATCATTGGGTCTATTTTACCACAGTGGCTGGTCTCTAGGAACCTCCGTATGAATTCCTTTAACTTTGACCACAAAACCGTAAATGTTCTTTTCATTAAAATCTCTTGAATCAATAGAGATGATTCTGTTTTCTGTCTGGAAAAGAGCTAAACTAGAACAGTACAGCTGGAATTAAAAATTAGGAGTGGTGTGGCAGACAGAGGCTAAGATGGCCATCTCCTGGTATTCATGCCCCGTATACCACCCTCACCTTGAGTATGGGTGAGACCTGTGACTTGCTTTTAACCAATAAAATATGGCAAAAGTAATAGAATGTCATCTCTGCCTTTATGACACCTCAGATAATGACACCATCTTGATAAGAGACTCTCTCCCTTGTTGGCTTTAATGAAGTGGCCATGTTGGGAGGCAAGGAACTGAGGGTAACATTCATCCAATAGGCAGCCAGAAACTGAGACTCTCAGTCCAACACGCTGAAAGGAATGAATTCTGCCAACAACCATGTGAGCTTGGAAGTAGATCATTCTCCAGTTGAACCTCAGATGTGACAGCAGCCCTGACTGACACCTCGATTGCAGACTTGTGATACTTGGAGACAGTGATTCCAAATAACCTGCAACAGTATTTCTGACCTACAGAAACAGTGAGATAATAAATGTGTGCTGTTTTAAGCTGCTAAATTTGTGGTAATATTATCTAGCAACCAATAATTATTAATAATACAAACAGATTCAAGAGGCACTCCAAGTTGTGTGTGTGTGTGTGTGTGTGTGTGTGTGTGTGTGTGTGTGTAAACTCCTTTAGATCAGGGACTACTTCTTATACTTTACTGGATCCCCAGTAGTGCTCATCTTGGTAATATTTCTGGTCTGGTGATGAAGCCAACATAAACCTTCATTTCTAGAGGGATAGGGTACAGGAAAGCAATATGGAGATACTAAAGACAAAATTCCCAACTTTTCACAATTATACTCAGGGTCCACAGCTTACCTCCTGGTGCCTGCACAAATGAGAGCCCTGACAAAATATACTGGAGTTCATGAGTTCTTGTGCCTGACCTTGACTTTGGAGGTGGTACACAGGACAGTGAAATCAAATTGTTTGGCTTTGGTCCAGCTGAAGCTCACTGCTGAAAGGTGATCACAAAATATGGCTCTGTCAACGAGTGATCAGCTACCTCTAGGCCCAGAGAAGCGGAGTAAACAAGTAATTTCACACACTGCTAGAGAACAGGATTAATATAGCCCGATTATCAACACATTCTCCATGGCTGATTTAAATCCTCTTTGTTGCCTTTCACACAATACCTTGGGGAGACTAATGTCTGCTGAGAATTATTTTGATAAAAGCTGACTTTTGGCCAATTTTAGAAACAAATTATAATTGTCCTTTCACTGAGATAATTTAAGTTATTAAAAACTACCACTTCAGCATATTCACATTCTCTAACAGGAAAAACTGATCCTGAAACTTAATTAGTTTCTGAATGAGTTGCAAACAACACAAAGACAATAGAGAACTCAAGAGGGAAGAGAATCAGCTTGAGTTCACAGGGGAACCAACTGAGCAGAGCTTGTCTTAAGACTGTGTCAAGAATAAGTGCATAATCACTCTTCTGCTTGCCTTGGCATTATTCAGCCTTTTAAAATGTCATAGTACATCCAGGGAAGGCTAGGGTGCTGGATGTCTCTATCTCACAACATTTCCATCACAATTCAAGAAACGTGTATAAGGGATCTGCTATGTGCCTGATGTGCTGAATGCTGGAGGCACTGAACATCCACTCGCTCAACCAGAGATTAACAAGGTGTTATTCCACTCAGACTTGTCAATCCATTTCCTAGGCAACATTCCTTAGATCAAGAGGAGATCTGTCTTGAACTTACCCATAGGTGGCAAGCACTGTGCTGGACACTGTAAGAGATGGAGGCATAAATGAGATAGTCCACCTGCCTGAAGTTTCATACTCTGGAGCAGTGCATCTCAGACTTCACCATCATCACAAATCACCTGGGAAGCAGGTTAAAATGTAGTTTCTGTTTCAAGAGTGTGGAGTAGGGCCTGAGATTCTGCTCCCAGATGTTGTTGATCCTGCTAGCCTGCGGACTACACCTTGAGTAACAAGGTTGCTGAGTACAAACCAAGCATCTATAAAACAAGGCAAACTTCCCCCAGATATTACTTATCTTAGGAACAGACACTCGTATATGAGATGCAAGATAACACAGGGGATAAGAGTACAGATCTAGTATTGAAGCATTTGAGTTTGAATCACAGCTCTACTACTGTTAAAGTAGGTAGCTAGTCAGGCATGAGAAGTGTAAGAGAGGGCTCCCCCCACTCCATCAGGAATGTCAGGCGACCATCAGGTGATGGTCAGGCAGTTGTCACACTGTCTCTCTAAAATAATAATTAGTCACAGCCAGTGCCAGGGAAAGGCAGTCTCCATAGATAAAAACACCTGAAACTGGTGATCAGCAGCTTTTGGATAAGATTTCAGCAGTTGGGCCAGTAGGCTCGAGCATGCATATTAAGAGCCAAAATGGTACCATTTAACTGGTATATAACCATCGGGGGCATTCCACTGGTAAGGAAAGAATGCCTCAAATGAGCATGCATACAACTCCAGTAAACACACTGCTCGTGCTCCCCTCCCAAGTGCTAGCAGGCCACTGTGCATGTGGACAACCCACTCTGAGGGAAGAATCAGGGAAGAAGGGACGCAAGACCCCAGAAGAGTGTTAATATATAAAACCCCAAGTCAAAAGGTCAAACTGTGCACTTGTCTATCAAGTTGCCTGCTTGGCCCTCTACCAAGTATATGTTCTTTCCTTTTGTTCCTGCTCTAAAGCTTTTTAATAAACTTTCACTTCTGCTCTAAACCTTGCCTTGGTCTCTCCTTCTGCCTTATGCCTCCTTGGTCGAATTCTTTCTTCTGAGGGGGCAAGAATTGCAAACTCACATGGATTCACTACCATTAACACTATTTACTTGTTGTGTGACCTTGAGTAAGTTACTTGAATTCTCTATATCTGTTTTACCATCTTTAAAATGGGGATAATAATAGTTCCTACTTTGTAGAGTTGTGTTCAGAATTAAGTGAATTAATCCACATAAAAGTCTTCAGAGGAGTATCTGGGCCATAATGAGCACTCAATAAATGCAAATTACTGTGATCATTGCTGTTGTTTTTTAATTGGACCACTAGGTTCATAGAACATTCTTTTAATTCTTATATATCTTCCCAGCATTTAACAATAGGTCATCAGATCCTCAGGATAATCCTTCACTGGATCCTTGGGATAATCCTTTTGTAGGACCTATTAGGACACCCATTTCCATTTCATAGGCAAGAAATTGCATCCTAGAAAGGTACAACAACTGCACATAGCTGTCCAGCCACAAAGTGGTAAAGCAAGGATTTGAACCCAGGACCTCCAAATACAGAACTTATGCCCTTAACCACTTTGCTGTTCTGCCTCCTTATAGGTTAGCTGCTTAACAAGACTCTCAAAAAAGTGACAGGTGGGGATTTACACCACAGAACATCTTCCAAAATTTTCTTGGCCCATCTAGCTTCCCTGAATGTCACCTGGTGGCTGTCCCTCCCCCTCTCTGTCTCCTCCCCTTCTCTCTAAGTCCTTTAGATTTTAGATTCTTTCTTCCCCCACATTTCACAGAGAGTCCTTTATTTTGTAAATTAATCTGCCCTCTGGGTTTCTTTCCTCTCAGGACTTTAATCATTACACACCCTGCTCAGGGCCCCTCTGCTCCCATTTTGGCAGTACAAACACTGACTTCCCAAGAGGTTGGGAAAAGGAGAAAAGCTGTATATATTTATATTTTTGTCCTCATCAAACATATAATGTTCTATAATTCGTTTAAAAATAACTTGCTTTCGGGTGGGCACGGTGGCTCACACCTGTAATCCCAGCACTGTGGGAGGCCAAGGTGGGTGGATCACCTGAGGTTGGGAGTTCGAGACCAGCCTGACCAACATGGAAAAACTCTGTCTCTACTAAAAATACAAAATTAGCTGGGTGTGGTGGTGCATGCCTGTAATCCCAGCTACTCAGGGGGCTGAGGCAGGAGAATCGCTTGAACCCAGGAGGCGGAGTTTGCAGTGAGCCGAGATTGCGCCACTGCACTCCAGCCTAGGCAACAAGAGTGAAATTCTGTCTCAAAATAAAATAAAATAAAATAAAAACTTGCTTTCCTAGCTACTAATATTAACTACAGTAATAAAACACACTGTTTTATTTATTCCTTGAGACAACTTCTTGAGATCAGTATTGTCAGCCTCATTTTATGGATGTGGTGGTTAAATAACTTATCCCAATGTCATAGTAAGTGACACAGCCAGGAATTAAACCTGGGTCTAGTGGCCTCTGAAGCCTGTGTTTTTGACCAATTCTTATAAGATGATTTGTAATTTGCTTAACAATTACTTTCTTTTTAGACCATGCCAAGGCAAACTTCAACCCTATTCCAATCCCAATAAATCTCTAAGGTGTAGTGTATGTATTGAGATTGTGCTCTGGCAGTGCTTAAAAATTCACTTTACTTCCTTTATTCCCAAGGCTGCTCAAGTCACTCTATATGTAATGGTAGCTTCATCAACAAGTTGAGGGTCTAAGAACTTAAGGTCCCTCCTCTGATTATTTCAAACACTGAGCATTTGAGGAGTTATAGATGGTGGAGCTACAACACCCAGCAAACACAGATACAAACCACATGAAACACAAAAGGCCATGGTTTTCATGAATAATACAACAATATGAGTACATGAATTAACAATATGACAATTGTCATATGCATTCAAAATGGACAATATGCATACATGAATGTTTTTCTGGAACATACCATACCAAATCTCTCAGATGCAATAAATAATTACTTCAATCATTTCCTGAACTTTATAATTTGAGACAACGGAGAGACCAAAAGAAAAAATCTAGCAGAAATCTCATTTCCTGAAAAACAACTTCTTGGGGAAATGTGCATATGGAATCAGATACATTGATGTTCTTAGGAATTCTGGCCTTACAATTTTGACTCTAACAATGATTCATAAAGATGAGATTTCTCCAGAAAGTAACTATGTTTATTGCATCACATTTATATTAACTTTATAGCACTCAAATGTTTCCCATCTTCAGGAGAAGAATTTAATGTATAAGTGTAACCGAATAATTTTAAATGCTGACAGAAAGTTTTAAGAGTTAAATTTGAACTAAATCGCAAGAGAAATCGTATAAATGACTATCTTCTTCCTGTCACAGCCCCTCCTTTTCCCGGCATACCAAAGGCAACTATAGTTCCTGAACGAGAGAGAAAAAGCAAACTTAAATAATGTTTTATTATTTTGGCACTGAAATAATTTACTCTTGTTTCTCAGGCAACTAAATTTACCAAGTAGAAAGATCAAATCTTAGTCTTCTTTTGTTCAGTTATTTTACCTTCTTAATAAAATCATAGTTTGGATTCTTCCACTAGGGTCACGTTAACAGGAAGCTGGGGGGCTCACAACGTGGATTTTGTGTTTCCAGTTAGAAAAAAAAAAAAAAAAAAACAGAGCAGGATTATTCTTATGTTCAAAGGGAGAAACGACAGACAACATATGAAGCCAGAAGCCAGTTTACTTGAGAAAGCATGATAACTGATCTACTTATGGGTCTTGTTCTGCTTCCACTCTGTCTCCTTTAAGAATTGCTTCATGTACTTTTTTAATTGACATGCTTTTGCTTAGTTGGCAGAGGACAACATGGTGTGTTTTGGGAAAGAAGAGGGGGTTGAACAGATAACAAAGTATAAAAAGAAATACCTTTTCAGGATAAAGAGCACAATCTCTAGTTCAGCATTGCCCAGTAGAAATATGTGTAATGATGGAAACATTCTGTATTGGTGATGGACAATACAGCGGCTACTAGTAACACGTGTCTATTAAGCACTTGAACTGTGGCTAGGGCAATTGAGGAGATATATTTTTAATTAACTTTTTTAATTTAAATTGAAATAGCAACTTGTGGCTAGTGACATGCACTGGACATACTGAACTACTGTTTGTTTTCTTTGTTTTTTCTAAAGAACAAAGCAACTCATGAAAACAGGACTCTTTTATAAGATAAGTCTGTCATTGCCCTATTTGGTGGAGACTGGATGCGGAAGTGCTCAAAAGACTTAACAGGCTCAAGTTTAGCTGCTAGGCTTTTCATCATCTGCCAGTGCCTGTTGATTGGTGGTGACTGCCCATCTTACTTGTGGAGACAGGATGAGAATGAATAGCATGATTCACTAGCAATGTCTGCAATCCACATGCATGGAGGAGTGAAGTGGCAACTCATGAGGAAAGACCTTGGGGACAATATTGGAGCAAAGCTCTCCTCAGAATTTCTTTCTAACGTGGCAGTACCTTTATGTCCAATGTGTAATCATGTTTCTGCTAAAAGTTTCCAAGTGGGATGACATAAGCTTTGTGGTAAATGACCTCGCTAGTGTTGCTATGGATGAAAACAAAGAAGAGACTAGAATTTAGGAAGATGTAGCATGTGAGCCGAGTGTTTTTGAAGTTGAAGAGAGGGATGTTTGAAAGGGAGGACATGTTGGAAGATACATCGTGTTTGTCGCTGCAATCAGACTCATGACCAGCTATCACAGACATTTGAGTGATGCTTTGGGGAGGAGGAAAGCCACTACAGACATGGAAGGAGTGGTGTCGGCATGTCAACATTCATACACAGACACACACCAAATTCATATGTTCTTGCTCTCTCTCTCTCTCTCTCTCACTCTTTAATAGTGAGACTTCTTCAGTCTGAATACCAGGTGGGGTTGCTTTCACATAACAATGTGAGAAATGCATATTCACTGAAGGAGTTTGACAGGAATAGATAGAAAAAGAAAGACACAAGATCTCTCCACTAGCACAGAGAAACTTCAGAGGGCCTCTTGCTGCAGAAGGGAACATTGGCTGAATTGATCAAGTCAGTGGACCAGGGCAAGACTGTGGAAGACATTATCAGATGAGTAGGAAATCTGGCAGATGCCTTGTGTATGGCAGCTGAGAATTCTGTGGATTTCTAGTTCTCACTGAATGTGAAAAGAACTCCAGTACAAGAAAACATGCAGTTCCCAGGGTGGGTAGAGAGAGACCAGAGAAACAAGCACCAGATGTAGAATACTCACAGGCAAGAGTAATACTCATGGACAAGCATTTTTGGGTAATTATGTGTCTGTCCCAGTGCTTCCCATAATACGATCAAATTTAATCCTTTCAAGAGTTATGGAAGGTAGCTGTTGATATTGTTTCCATTTTACAAATGAGAAAATTGAGATTCAGAAAATCTAAATAAATTGCTAGATTGCACAACCCAAAAATGGAGGAAGCAGAATTCAGTCAGATTTTTTAAACTCAAAAGTGCAGGATTTTGTGTATAATGTTATTCTTCCTCCCCTTACATACCTCAAGATCTAGGTTCATTTTACAGTTCAGTTTGAGTCCCTTAATGCTGGAAGTCCCAGAATGTGATATCACGCTCATTTAGACACAAAATATTTATTTAATACTTCGAGTATGTGCTGAGAACCATGGTAGGTACTGGCAGATACAAAGATGAAAAGACAAGGTTTCTATCTTCATGGAGTTTCCAGGCTGATGGAGAAATGAACAGGCAAACAAATATTTAGAAAAGATTAAGTTTGCTTGTTCTCTGCCATATTTCCATTAAAATAGCCATAGACAGACTCAGAAGCTGACAATCATACCGGAAAGGAAAAAACAAATAACAAATAAGCAAAAAAAACCACACGTGGAGTTTCCTCTGGCTGTTTTCTACAGAGCTGTGTGCTAGGGAACTGTTATTCTATGAGGTGCTAATAGATAATCTTAAAAGGAACAATGGTAGACTTTATAACATAAAACAGTTTTTTTGTAACAGGACATTTTAGAGCCATTACTATGTTAATTTGCACTGTGAATCTCCAAAAAGGAGATATGGTGTATAATATTTCCCAAAATTATTTAATCACAAAAACACATTAGAAGACACATGAAACACATTAGAAGACAAATGATTAACAGAGAAGAAAAAGCATTTTTAAAATGCTAGAGGCTAAAGAATAACAGGTAGAGGCATATTGCATTTGGGAATATTTTATTTACTATGAAAAGTGTTGTAGGGAGCCGAAGTGAGAATGCCCAGGAAACAGTGCAGTGTAGGAGGTGCTGTCTTTCATGTACTACACTGGGTGCTGAGCTTGTGGTTAAGTCAGAGTTCCAGCTCTAGCCTGGAAGGTCTACTCTAAATAAATGCCTGCTGGATTCAGCAACTTAAGTCAGGTATATCAAGGTGACCTTCAGATAGTCAACTGAGAAGTAGCAAATGCTAGCACTAAGTGAATAGTGAAGAGGATTGATGAGACTCCACTTAATCTGTCCACTGGTAAATGCCAGCTGGATAGATTTCTTTCCAATCCTGAATGAGTAAATTAGAAATAACAACAGCAACATGCAGCCTAAGAAAAGGATGGGGAATAACTAGATCGTGGTCAATTCATAAGATGGAATGCCATATAGCAATGAAAATGGAGGACAGTTTGATACACGTGCCAATATGGATAAATCTAGACATAATGTTAAACAAAATAGGCTAAATACAAAACAGTACATGCTGTATGATCCCAATTTTGTGAAGTTGAAAACCAGGCCAAATGATAAAGGCAGAACAATGGTTACCTTTTGTGAATGCAATGATGGGAGGGATACAAGAAGGCTTCTGGAGTGCAGAAATAAACTACATCTTGATTTAGGAGGGTTTGCTTTGTAAAATTCACCCAGCTGTATATTTACAATGTGTGCACTATTCTGTATGTTTGTTGTACTCAGATAAAATTTTACTTAAAAAGTAAATAATAGGTGGCAGAAATAGCGTCAACCTATATAATATGTTATTGATCATGAAGAGGTAAAATTCTCTTACTAAAGGACCAACACCCTTTTAGATTATCTTTAACATCGAACTAGGTGATACTTATAAAGAAAACTATAATAAGCAAGTGAATCAGTGAATATATGAATTTTTTAAAATAGACAAAATTTAATTAAAAGAAAGCAGTAATAGAGATAAGGCAAAAGCTAAGGAAACAAACCTCAAATGAGTCAGAGTCACTTCTCTCATTCTCCCCAGCCTGGATCCATTGTAATTTATTCCTCATTGCAGTCAGCAGGTGTGAGTTGCTTAGGGATGTTTGGCAAATTGTTAAACTCAAATCTGATCAGGTCACTCCGCTGCCCAACATCCTTCTGTGGATTCATAAATGCTGCAGGCCAAAGCCTACATTTCTTAGCCTAGAATCACTGATTTTTCCTACCTTTATTGATCAGGCCCACTATTCTCCAGACACTGTAAATTGCTCTATTCTCATTTTCCTTCTCGTACTTTCAAGTCCTAGAAGGCCTATGGAATTATATGTAGATTTATTAACATGAAAACATTTTTACTCGTTTATTTCTCTTCCTGGCCCAATTTTAATCCCTTGACAAAATTTTCACGACCTCCCCCTTACCTTTGTTAGTCACTCCTTAATTTGTGTTCCTACAGTTCTGGTTTAGCTTTCTCTCACACTAATTATCACTTACATGCTATAGCTATTAGTTTACATGTCTGCAAAGTCCTAGTGGCTAAGGATCAAGGACTGTTTGACAAATATTCAAGGCAGGACAGACTGGAAGTGGAGCCTCCTAAATCAACTGATGACAGATATCTTGGGTGTGGGGGTATTTTAAAGTCAGTGGTTATTATTTTGAAATTTTCTATAATAAAAACATTTTAAATACAAAAAAAAAAATCAGTGGCTTCAGATGCTGATAAGAAAAAAAATCTCCGGAACCAGGAACTAGGCCCTTAAAATGTCAGTTGACCTAGAAATATAACAAATATGATCTATGGTGTCATCTCAGAACCAAATGTTCTGAAACAAATGTTCATCATTTGTTTGTCAAATCTCAGAACCAAATGTTCATGGGTGTAAGACTCCAAGCATTTCATCTAGAAGGGCACTGCTCCTCGATTCTCCTTCCTCCCTCTCCGCAAATTGAGCTTGTCACTGATACTGCCTCAAAGACAGATTTACATGGTAAATGGCTGAAGCTAAAGAAGATGTCTGATGGTCTGGTATCCTTACAGTGGTATGGCATAACCAGAAGTTAAGCTGTTGAGCAGAACAAAGGCCTCCTGTCCACACCTGATGGGCTGACAACATTGCTCCCACACAGTTGACACTTACTGGGTGGCACCAAAGGGTGGGTGACAAGAGTGACAACTTTGCCTCTGCATCTCAGAAACTCACTTCCCCCAAGAAGAAATGATGTCACTTCTGGGCAAAAAGCACCAAACTATTCCTACTTCCACCACCAACTGGATTAGAACACCAGAGTACGTTCTTTAACTCTCAGGTCTCTCAGACTCCAGTCTTAGTGTTTGTCTATTTCACTGGAGGTGAACAGTCCAAGTAGCAAATAAGTTTCACAGATAACTGGAAAGAGATGTTCATAGTCATAGATACTCTCTCTTTATCCCTAAGACCCCTAAAATTCAACTTATTGATTACCTAGCGCCTACCATATGCCCAATACTTGATCGTGTGCCATGAGGAGCTCTGAAATAACAAAACGTGGTCACTGCCTTTGAAAAACTTTCAGAGTGATCAAGTACATGAAATATTTATTCAAGGAAGGAACTAGAGTATGATATGTAAATGTATAGGCTTTTTTAATCAGATATCCTGAGTTCATTTTCTACCTCCATGGTTTACTAACCATAATGATAGGCAAGGTGTACTTTGGTTTCCTCATCTGCAGAATAGAACTAATAACAGGATTCACCTTAGCACTGTTGTGAGGATTCAGTGAGCAACAATGCAGATATAGAGCATAGAGTAAGTGCTAAACAATCATTATGTTACTAGGGTTAATATAAAAGAGAGTTCTGCAAGTAGATACATGATGAATCGTCAAAGTAATTAGCAAAGACCAAGTCAGTGATCACAAAGCCCAGAGAAGATAGACATGCTTTGGTCCAAACTAGAGAGAAGAGAGAAGAGAGGTAATATTTATCAAGCAGGCTCTTTTTGATATAATTTCAACTTTTATTTTAGATTCAGGGGGCACATGTGCAGGTCTGTTACCGGGGCATATTGTATGATGCTAAGGTTCGGAGTGTGATGGATCTCATCACCCACCCACATTCTGAGCATAGTACTTAATAGTCAGTTATTCAACCCTTGCCCCCAACTAGTAGTCTCCAGTTTCTATTGTTGCCATCTTTACGTACATGAGTACCCAGTGTTTACCTTCCATTTACAAGTGAGAACATGTGGTATAAGGTTTTCTGTTCCTACATTAATTCACTCAGGATAATGGCCTCCAGCTGCATTCATGTTGCTACAAAGGATATGATTTTGTTCTTTTATATGGCTGTGTAGTATTCCATGGTGTATATGTACCACACTTTCTTTATCCAATCCGCTGTTGATGGGCACCTAGGTTGATTCCATGCCTTCGCTATTGTGAAGAACACAAGCAGCCTTCTTCATGCCAGAACTGGTTTAGTGGCTTTACACAGAATCATCACTACCTCATCCATAAACTAAGAGAGACAGGTCTTAAGCTAAAGCCAAGAGCCTGATCTAAATTTGGAGAGGCTAAGAAAAGAAGACAGGAAATGCCCATCTGTATGACCAGTTATCAAAGAATGGTGAAAACATGGAAACAGCATGCTGCATCTGGAGGGCATGAGATGCTCAAATGGATGAGTATCATTTGGGTGCTACATAACATATGGTTGAAAGTGCTTTGGAAATTCACGGGCATTAATTTGTTAAACATTCTCTAGTTGTGACATAACTTCTCTGTTCCTCTGTTTTCTTATTCTAAAAAGAAAGATAGTAATAGCTACCTCCCAAGACTATTGTGAGAATTAGAGGAGAGAATAGACATAAAAGAAGCAAGCATAATAACAAATATAGTGTATCCTCTAAAAGTGTTATGTCTGTTTCTATGTCTCCTGTCCTGTGGTCTAGAATATATTAATAGCAAATGCCCAAGTGCCCACACTTAAAGCTCAGATAATTTGAAAGAACTATGATTTAAAGATAAATAATTATTATAGATCAAGACTGTAAATTAAAATGGTTCATGTTAAAAGTTGTTTGTATATTTTGGTTTGGGCCAAAACCTTTAAAACAAATAGGTTTAATTATAAGTTGGACCAGTTCATTGAACATGTGGGACTCTTTGGCAAGTTCTGTAAAGAAATTAGCTCATGGGAGGTTTAAAAATGAATTAACTTTATTTTTACTTGAAAGTCAGAGTTTAGTTCAATGAAAAAGCCTGCTACAAATAACTTTTGCTTTATCGTAGTCCTCTTTTGTGCTGATAGTATTACCAAAGAAACAGAGGCAAAAATGTGTGTTTGTGTGTATGTATGTATAAAATATTGTCACCAAACATTCTATCTGCTCCCTCAGGACTCTTGCACTGTGCAGAGAGATCTCACTAGTTCTGAGAATGTGGAGCAGGGACTATAAGGCCTGTGAGAGGCAGGGGATGTGCAGAAAATCCAACAGAACTGGCTGGGCGCAGTGGCTCACGCCTGTATTTCCAGCACTTTGGGAGGCCAAGGTGGGTGGGTCACTTGAGGTCAGGAGTTTGAGACCAGCCTGGCCAATATGGTGAAATCCTGTCTCTACTAAAAATACAAAAATTAGCTGGGCATGGTGATGCATGCCTATAGTACCACCTACTTGGGAGGCCAAGGCAGGAGAATCACTTGAGCCTGAGAGGTGGAGGCTGCAGTGAGCCGAGATTATGCCACTGCATTCCAGCCTGGGTGACAGAGCTAGACTCCGTCTCAAAAAAAAAAAAAAAAAAAAAAAAATTAAAAAAAAATAGAAAAAAAAATCCAACAGAACCAAAGAGGGGTCTGGGGTAAAAGATGCCTCATGTGGGCTAGTGGCTCATGTCAGCTAAGCCCCAGGCCCTAAGTAAAATGACTCCCATACCACCCCAAGGTTTTCTTTCTAATCCTCCTCTCTCCACCAAAAGTAAGACCCAGAATGAGAGACTAAAGGGACCAAGGGGCCAGTGGCTGCCTTATTCTTCTCTGAATCCAAAAGACCAAAGGGACCCTCCTGACTCTTACGTGGCCCAGCTTAATTCAACAGAACAGGAGACTCAAGAGAGATTTTGGTCAGTGGTTCACCTTGTGATAGTGGCTACTTGCAGGGTCTTCCAGACATTACGTGTCCCCTGGGGACTCATCAAGGACAGTGAAAGAACAAAAGTCCTGTACTCTTCTCATCAGAAGTATAGCTAACGATAGCCACATGACATATCTTGTCTCCCTTACAGCTGCTAAGTCCTTATTTGTTTCCTTCCCTGGATAGGTATTCATCTTCATCCCCCATCCCAACTTCCAACCTTATCAGTGAAGAAGGAGTGGGAGGGATAAGGCAAGAGAAGCAGAAACTGAGTCATACCACTCAATTCAGCCGTGAACTTAGCTCAAGCACTTCACCAAATATCATAGACATCATCATAGAAATGATTTAATGTAAATCACAAAAATTACCAAACAGGAGAGTGAAAGGATCTAGAATGTAAAGAAAATACTAAATTATCTTGAAATGTGTATAGCAGTGGTTCCAAAACTTTGCTGCACCCAGGAATCACTTGGAGATCTTTTAAAAAAAATGCTGGCACCTGTGTTTTATCTCAGATATTCTAATTTAAATAGAGTAAGGCTTGAATGTTGATATTTTTAAAAATTCCTTAGGCTATTCTAATATGCATCAAAATTTGAAAACCACTAGTATAGAGGTGTGTCTAGACCAGTAATAGTATTTTCAGTCCCTAGAAAGGATGTAATAGAAACAATGGTGACATAAACTATACTTTTTGGCTATAAAGGAAATTAAACCCCTAAACTAATCAGTGTAAACGTGAGTGTTATCAACCAGCTGATGGAATGACTTGGTGACTTATATGTCCCTGGGGCTCAAACAGCAGGATCACAAATGCAACATGCTCTCTGTTCTCCTTCAGCTCCCACCTCTTCTTTGGTTTTTCCAAATGGTACTGTAACCTTGTTAGTAGCAACCTTGAAGCACAGCTTAAGTCAGGACAGATCCTGTTTTTCAGGCACAAGCACTGATTGCAAGATTTTTCTCTTCACATTGAATTTTTCTGTGAATTCATCTTCATAAAGAAGTTTCACTCTCAAAACCTGTGGATTCCTTCCTCTCGTCATTTTGAGATTGCTAAAAGTCTCTCTCTCTCTCTGATTCTCTCTCTCTTGTTCTCATATTCTCTCTCTCTCTCTCTCTCTCATAATTTTGTACTTTCCTTTTGCTTTGGATGCCCTTCTCTTCCCCCTTGCACTCTACACACACACAAACCCACACAACATACCACATTTCAGCTCAAACATCTGGGTGGCCAAGGAGCCAGAGCCGCCCAGAGTCATTCCTAGGCTGAGTTGGCTGTCCCACCTCAATGCTCTCCTAACACCCTGGGATCACCGTGATGTCAGCACAGTTAGGTCATTTGATCAAATTCATCAAGTAACTTTTGCCTGCTTTCTCCACAAAACCATAACCTCCATGAGGGTATAGGCCCTCCATCTTTCCATCTGTGAATTTCCATCAACTAGTACACAACATAAAAAAATAAACTTACCATTGTGCTCAAAAGATTCTCCTTGGAGAAAGAAAAAAGATTTGTACCCTTCTGCCTGAATGACAAAATTTGGTTTGGGGATAGGGGAGAAAAAAATAGGAAGAGAAAGAAGAGAAAATACATCAATGTATTCTTATGATGTGGCCAACACTATTCTAAAATACATACATGTGTAAATGCCTCGAATTCTTGCATCAACCCTCTGTAGGATGCACTAAGACACTCCTAATCTAGAAAGTATTAAGTTTCTGACTGGGCAGCCTCCCCAGGGCTACACATCAAATGAACACTTGAGAAATAAACATAGGCATTCTGACTTTTGGTGACTAGTCACCATATTATCCTGCATTTATTGAGAATTTCAGGGAACCTAGGGACATGAGACATATTTTCCACCTTCCTGGACAGGAGAGTGAGAAAGTCAGAAACACAATTGATTCTTTCTTCTCTGCAGATGGAATAAAGAGACTAATAGAAACAAACACACAACACATACACACACAATTTAAACTTACTATACACAAGTTAAATAAAACAAAGTGTAATTTTTAAAGGTAAGTAATAAGATGGCCAACTAGCATGAGCTGTTGGGCTCTCTCTGATAGAATTAACCATGGAGAATTTAGAGAAAGAAGAGGCAGGTGTGAGTCAGAGGGGTTAACAAAAAAATTGTGAGAAACCCCAAGGTGATGGAATGCTGGCAGTGAAAAACTGGGATGGAGAGAAACTTTTAACTGTCTTTGCTGTCTTCCTTCTGAGTTAGCCTGTGACAAGCATTGTAAAAAAACAAAGACAATTCAACAATAAACATTTGTTGATCGAAGCGGAATTACTAGAACCGACACACTAAGAATTTAAGATGAAAAATAATAATCCTTGTAACAAATAAATTTGAAAATAAAGATATGAACAACATGAAATACGAAAACAATTATAATGAAAAGAAACATGTGGAGATATAGGAGGATATAGGAGAATAAAAATGTCAGTAAAACAAGAAAAGTTTCTTGAGAAGGGGAAGGAGGAGATGAACCCAGAAATGAAAACTTATATCCCTGAGTCAGTTACCAATCCGTGGACTTTCCAACAGAGGAGCACACTTTGATGTTCAGCTATTTTAAGTGGGAATGAATTATTTTAAAGTTGGTACCTGCAAACCTCACTAAGCAAAATGTCAGAGACTGATAATCCCACCCTTTTAAACTCAGTCTCCCAATTTTGAGTGAGAAATGTTCCATTTCTCTTCTGTCTCCAAAATTCCTTTAATACCCTAGAGAAAGGTGACTATTTGAGTCAAGTCTTGAAGGATGGGTTGTAGTTTTAAAGCAGGCAATAGAAAGATAAAAAGCCCACTGGAGAGATGGAACAGCTTGGGCGAAGGAGTAGGGGTCTGAGGATGGGGTAATAAGAGAGGGGTACAGAATTGAGTTATAGAATTAGGGTGTGGGAGAGAGGAAGGAGCAAGACAGAACAAGCTGGCCTAAAGGACCTTGCATGCCTTGCAACTAACAATAGCTAGTGCCATTTACTGACCACCTATTAAGTTTCAGTGACTTTTATTTATAATTTACTATCTTATTTAATATTCATAACAACCTTGCAAATAGTCATCATCATTCCTATTTTACGGATGGGTAAATTAAGATTCAAAGAATCTTTTTTGTTTTCTCGTTTGTTTTTTGGTTGGTTTTGTTTTGCTTTTCAGAGAGTCATGCATCTGTCTGTCATCAAAGTCTTGTGTGTTTCCAACTGTGTTGGCTAAAATACAAAAGTTATCATTTAACATCCCTCTCTAATCTTTCAGTGGATCCCAGGCACTTTCATGATTAAGAGCAAACTCCCTAATATAGCACACAGAGCCCTTCTCCCATCACATCTCCATGTTTCTTTCCTTCCTACCACTACAAATACTTGTCTTTCACTCACTCATGTGGCTCAATTACTACTGTCATGACATCTCATGTCATTGCAGAGTTATTTATCTGATCCTACTCCAGACTGGGTGCTCTTGGAGGTCAAGGGTATACCTTTTTTGTATTTTTACCCCATTGCCAAGTTCAGTGCTTGGCTCAAATTAAGAAGCCAATCAATTTTTGTTAACTGATGAATTAATCAATCAATCAAAGAAATAATCTTTTTGTCCCCTGTGTAAAACAATTATCCAAATACATTCAGCAGGACAGTTTATCCTCTGTTCTTAGTTTTAACCAGAGTTTCATTTTTTTCTCTGCCTGTCTCTACTTCCCTCATCGCCACCATGGTTTTCTGGCTTTGTCTTTGTAGCAGGACATAGAAGTAGCTGGATCATGCTTGAGAGAACACTCATTCAAGGACAACCTTAGAAATAGGCAAGAAAAGTAGTTTTGATATTTTTTCTATTTGCATTATTGATGTCATTAACTGTATATATGAAAACCGCTAAAGAAAATTGGATGTATGCATGAGATAAAAGCCTAGAGAAAAATACACCACAATGTTAATGTTAATTTCTTTCACAGTCATGGGATTATAGGTGATTTTAATTTTTAGCATTGCGAATTTTGGTATTTTCTAAGTTGTAAATAAAGTTTTCTAGGTTTTTAATGAACATGCATATATTACTTTTATATCAGAGAAACAGGAAGGATTATGTTTTAAAGCATTAAGCAAAATGTGTAAACATGAGTTCTTATATGATATCGCTGTTCAAAATCCAGAATAAGCATGTATTAATTATACCATAATTAATGTATACCATATCCATGAATTACAGTACAGGTTATCTAAAATTTACAACAGTCCTCTTTTCTTAAAAAAAATGCAGATATGATTAGGATTGTATTTAACACAAAAGCTTTGTAATTCCTGCTTTAAATCTACTTGGCTATAAAAATTTTAAGGGAATTTTATCGTGAAAGCAGCCCAAATCTATTCAAAGGAGCAAGCCTTTCAAGCCAGTGACCCCCAATGCCTTTTTTTCTTTGCCATTCAATAGTGCAAATCACCCATCTGTTACAAACAGGAACCTGAAAAAGCAACAACATCCTGGCAGTGACTAGCCTTAAAAACCATTCCCAACTCTACCTCCAGACCTGACGCTGTATTCAAGTGAATGTGCCTGAGGTGTGATCACCACAAGGAAACAGAACTGTGTCCTGTCTATGCCTATACTTGGCCATGCTTGTTAGAGCAAACATCCTGAAGTGACCACTGTGCTGTCCACACCCCAGCCAGGCAAGACTGGTATAGATGGGAGGGTGTCAGGCCTCCAGGCATGTGCTAGGGGAAGCTGCCATTTGAGAAGCTTTTGTTTCCCTGACACCTTTGTCGGGACATGAAAAATGGAAGGGAATGAGCAGCAGCTGGCTGCTTCTGCATTGAAGCCTGGCTTCTGATATTTACCATAAGTGAGGAGGCTCTGGATGGTGTCCTGTAGAGAGGGCTAGTCCTAGGAATAGCTGAGGAAAAGCAGATCTAGATAGTCTTTTAAACTACAGTTGCAAAGAAGCCACTCTGATTTCTAGATCAAGGTCCCCTCTCCATCAAGGAGGCCTTGAAAAGAGAGAAATGTCCCTGCTTCTGGGCTGGTTAAGATTTCTCAGTTCAGTGAGGTTTAAATTTTATGTATCCTGTCATCTTCTCCTCTTCTCCTTTCTTCATCAATCATCAGTCCCCAACTTGTCCTCACCAAAAAAAAAAAAAAAAAAAAAAGATTTTCAGATCCTGTGTTAGAAAACACCAATCATTTGGTGGCAGCACTTACTTGCTGCTCATTCATTCATGCCAGATAAGTAGAACAGATACCACCTTATTACAAACACTAAGCCCACTAGGGACTAGAGATCCCAGGTAAAGACCAGGATTTGAATGATCTTTGGTACATCCCCTCCAAAACTTTTTCACCCTTCTTATTCCTTCTTGGGGACCCCCTCCAGTTTGAGACTCACTCATAAAAATCTGTCTGCTTTGGGCTTCTCTTTTGTTGGGAAATACATAAAAAATCAGCAGTCTCACGTCTGATTTCTGCCCCTTCTCCATGTCTTCACAGGGCCTCTGTTAGACAGTGCCCTTGGCCTCCAAGGGAAATCCCTCACAGATCTGCAAGGATCTGCCCCTTCAGCAAAGCCCCAAATGCTGTTCTTTCGCACATTCTCCCTCCCTTATCAAAATTCACCCCCTTCTGTGTCCCATTCTTTTCTGCCTACCTCTATTTTTGGAAAGCTCACCAACTAATTATCCATTCTGTCAAAAGTGAGTACCCCTGTCAGGGGTTTTTAATCTTTAAAGGAGCTCTCCTGGAGATGCAAAGCCTTACTGCTATTGAATGAATCTGCATTGGTGGTATTGGCTGCCTGACAAGATTCTGGGAGCAGAGAACACTTTTCATAGGAAGTACTATTCTATTGTGTATCAATGGGCAATCACTTGAGCACCATGTATAAGATCCACATGCAGGACAGGTCCTCTTGTCTGCAAGTGCTATTACAAATGTACTGTGGAGATTTTACAAGTAGGAACTTAAGATGCATCCCCTGGAGGTCTTGCCAGCAGCGAGTGACTTCATTTAATTCAATAGATAGTCATGTTAAAGTATTGGCACTTTCCAATGGTTGTTAACAAGAGGTAGTGGAAAGTGCCTTAACTTTCTAATCAGAAAGCATTCATCCTGTTGAGTCAAGGTCCTCATAGGAAATAGATGGCACACCGAAATTAGGATGAGTGTGATACAGCAGACCATCAAGGGACATTGCAGTAACCCATATGTACAAAGGGAAAATAGAAGGAGACAGAGCCCAGAGGAAAAGGGTCATATAGAAGAGGCTACCTTGAGAAGATCAGTAATATAACCAGCTCAGGGTGACCTTGCAGAGAAAGGGGCAGGGGAACGTACACCCTGACCTCATTCTTTCTTCCAATCTTCTAGTTGGATTTCCAATTTAAAAAAAACAAAAACTGGAAGCCAAAGGACTCATTTATTGGTGTGGGTATCTATGGGACAGATGTATAATTGTGATAATAAATGTGAGAATATCTAATTGCACAACTGTCCTTGGTACATTTTATACCAAGTGCAATGTGAGTGATGCTTCCTGGAGTCCTGTAATTTGGTAATCCTATTAAGCGCTTAGTACAGTGTCTGCCACATAGTAATTGCTCAGTGAATAGTAACTCCCTTCCTTGTTTCAGTTGGAACAGACTCAGTTGAAAAGTTCCCAATTATATGTGGTTCTCTTTGGGCCCTCACATATGGGAGCTTAAAGAAAAATGCTGCCACCCTTTAGGGCTTCTTTCCCTTAAGTAGCAAAGGACTTATTGAATAGTGGGGAGCTCTCACACCTGATTCCTATAACTATAGGAGTTTCAGAAACAGGTACTTTCAAAATTTCTACCTCTCTTCACATGCCTGCGCCTCTCATAAGGTGCTATGAGATAAGACAAATGAACTTTTGCAAAGTGAGAAAGAATGAGCTCACCCTTACAGGATGGTAAGGGTGTTGATCAGAAATATTTCTAATTAATGCATAGGTCAATACTTCATACAGGAAATATCACTACCTGATATTTTAGCAAAGACAACTTACATTTACTCATTCCCCATCAATTTCAGTCAGGGAAGTTTCCGTTATGGTAGGAAGTATAGCCAACAAAACTTGCTCTCCCGATTAGACTGGCAGGATCTTTTGCAATATTGCTCTTGAAACTCAACTACCACTAAACAAAATTCAACCTCAGCATACAAATACTGCAAACATGTTTCAAGACAGGAAATGAAAACTATTTCACTGAAGACAAAATTGGTAAACCCATTTTATTAAAAAGTGAAGAAACAGCTGAGGTCTTCTCAGGAAGGCGAAGATTAATCTCATTTTCACCAGCAACATTCTTTTTCAAAGGGAATTGTGTCCATAAGAGAACAACATTCATACCTAATTGTCTTAATAGTAAGCATCATAATAATGGGTTTGGAGACTGTGTTTTAGGACTTCCTTTAGAATTTATGTTCATATGACTTCTGTGGACCAAGGAAAGTTGTGCAATTAGGTATCCTTACCTAATTGCAATTATGATCACAATTTTAAGAGACAAAAAATAGAGTCTTCCCCTTATATCACAAAGAACATTTATGTCCCCTCCCCCATTTCATCCCTGTCTTTGTTTTGCTCTACCTCTTTACAACTTAGAAAAAAAATTCCAAAAATCAGCCTAAAGTCAGTTGGCACATTTTTTGTCCCTAAGACAAATGCAGGGCATAGTGAACAAAGGGGTCGCACAACTGTTTGACCTTGGAGAAATTACTTTACTTCTATGGGCTTCAAATTTCTTACTTGTACAATAAAGGTTTGGGTTAGTGCTATAAGGTACTCGCCAGTTCTAATATTATATTATTCTAAGAAAGAGAAAACAATCTCCTTGGTTCTTACAGCTCCAAGTTTATTGACCTTCAAAACACTTCTAGTTTGGTACCATGATACAAGTGAACACCAACCATATATGGCTATAACTACCACAGTGAAAAGGCAATGTTTCCCATGCACATAGCAGTCAGGGGACAGGAAAATTCATGGGCTTTCCTGAATGATGTGGCTAGCTGTGAATATCAGAAAGATCTCACATGTCAGCTAATAGGTTTGGACAGGAGGACAGGAGGTCTCCAAACCAAAGGTCAACAGTGTAAACAGAAGTATACACATGCTGACAATTTGAAAGGCCTCATTACCATAAAATCAGCTGGTTCAGTTCCAAGGTCACAGTATAGAATCCTGAAAGGAAACCTGGCTATCTGAAATATGACATATTATGCCATTAAATACCTCTGTGTCAAAGTGAGCCCAGCCTGGATTCCTTTTCAATCATCCAGTCAACATATATCAATTGAGGTCCTGCTTTATGTCATGTTCCGTGCTAGGTACTCATGATTAAGTGGAACACAAGACTGACCCGGACCCTTATGGAAGAGACAGATGTTAAATAAAGAAGTGTATGAATATATACCTACATAACTGGATAAAGGCCATGGAGAAAGGGTAAACAGCATGATGAAATATTATAAGAGAGATACCCTTAGGGATCAGAAAATAATTTTCTGAGGAAGGAACATTTAAGTTGAATTTGGTACATGAGTAGGAGTCAGCCAAATAATTGATAGAACACTTCAAGCAGAATGAAGAGCACGCACTGGGAGGCCAAGGTGGGCAGATCATCTGAGGTCAGGAGTTCGAAAGCAGCCTGGCAAACACGGTGAAATAGCAGAATGAAGAGCATGCACTGGGAGGCCAAGGCAGGCAGATCATCTGAGGTCAGGAGTTCGAAACCAGCCTGGCCAACATGGTGAAATACCATCTCTACTAAGAATACAAAAATAATTAGCCAGGTGTGGTGGTGGGTGCCTGTAATCCCACCTACTCGGGAGGCTGAGCCAGAAGGATCGCTTGAACCTGGGAGGTGAATGTTGCAGTGAGCCATGATTGTGCTCCTGGGCAACAGAGCGAGACTCTATCTCAAAGAAAAAAGAATAGCATGCAAAGTCTTCAGGTCAACATGGCTGACACACTGAGAACAGGAGGAATGTGAAGCTTGAGAGGTAGCCAAGGGTTAGATGGTACCTTGTGGACTATGTTGAAGATTCTGGATTTTAAGGGCAATGGTGAATAACTTGACATCACGTGAGTTCATCATGAATCACTCTGGATCAGTGTGAAGAATGGATTGGGAAAGAGGAAGGATGGAATAGAAGAGAATAGAGAGGAGGTCATTACAGCAGTCAAGTCAGAAAACGACAAAATCTTGGACTGAAGCAGTGGCAAAGGAAAAGAAGAAAAGGGAATATATTTGAAAAGCATTCTAGGAGGAAATTTGAGAGGCTTCGTGAAAAGTGGAATATGTATGTGTAGAAAAGGAAACTCCTGTGCTCTGTTGGTGAGAAGGTAAATTAGAACGACCATTATGGAAAATGGTATGGAAGTTATTCAAAAAGCCAAAAATAAAATTACCACATAATCCAGCAATCCCACTTCTGGGTACAGATCCTAAGGACTTGAAATCAGTGTGTCTAAGAGATGTCTACATTCTTATATTCACTGCAGCATTATTAACAGTAGCCAAGCTATGAAATTAATTAAGCTAGGTGTTCATCAATGGATGAATAAATAAAGGAAATGTAATATATATACACAATGGGATACTATTTATCTCCTAAAAAGAAGGAAATTCTGTCATTTGTGACAATATTAATGAACCTGGAGGACATTATGCTAAGTGAAATAAGCCACGTACAGAAAGACCAAAAAAAAAAAAAACACATGTTCTCACTTATATGTGAAACCTGAGACAATCAAACTCATAGAAGCAGAAAGTAAAACTGTGGTTACCAGACGCTAAGGGATAAGGGAAATAAGATGTTGGTCAAAGGGTACAAAATTACAGTTAGTGAGAAGAGAAATAAATGAAAAGTATTTTTTTAAAGAAAGGAAAAGTGGTTATGTGAATAGAACATGAGAGAGATGAAAAAATATGCCTACGTTTATAGTGTGAGCTGCTAGATATATGGAGCTTCTTTTTTCTGAGAAGGGAGGCACTGCAAAGGAAGAGATTTAGGGTACAGAGATGGAAATCAAGAGTTCTGTTTTGATAGAACTATGTTAAATGCTGTTATGAGTTATTCAAAACAAAGCTTCAAAAGTAACTATTTGAATTTAGGAAGACGATTGTTGACTTTAACAAGATCAGTTTAGGTGGAGTTAGCAGGTGAGGAATTTTGATTGGAGTGAATCAAAAAGTGAGGAATTTTGATTGAAGTGAATCAAAAAATGAATGAGAGATAAGAAAGTAGAAGCAGCAAGTGTACAAAAATATTTTAGGATGTTTGTTATAAAATGTCACTAAAAGGTGCAAGATCAAGGGAAAGTATTTTATTTTTTAATCATACTTTAAGTTCTGTGATACATGTACAGAACATGCAGGTTTGTTACATAGGTATACATGTGCCATGGTGCTTTGCTGCACCCACCAACCCATCATCTACATTAGGTATTTCTCCTAATGCTATCACTCCTGTAGCCCCCCACCCCCTGACAGGCCCCAGTGTGTGATGTTCCCCTCCCTGTGTCTATGTATTCTCATTGCTCAGCTCCCACTTATGAATGAGAACATGCAGTGTTTGGTTTTCTGTTCCTGTGTTAGTTTGCTGAGATAAAGTATGACATGACAGGGATACAGGCTCCTAGGATAACCCAGTTAGGAAGCAGAGACAAAGCTGTGGGAGCTAGAGGGAATACCTACTAAAGCAGGGGGAATGGGTGAAGTCTGGAGTACCTAAAAAGGCATTGGCTGCTGATTAGAAAAGGGATGCTTCTTCCATTAATCATCAAGGAAGAAAATGCAGGTAAGTCTGTCCATATTGTGCTGGAAAAAGGGAGATTTCCTATTTGATGGCTTCTATTTCTTCTGTGAACAGAAAGATGTCATTTGAAGAAGGTTGGGAGAAGTTTAGAGATTTTAGGAGGATGTAAAATATTAATAAGTATTTTGTGATAAAGAAAAAATTCAATAAAGAAATTAAATAACATATTTTGGCATTACTGAGGGCCCAGATGTTTGTTGGTGCTTATGAATTGACAATGATACCATCCTTCCCCCATGTGTGATTTTTTTCCAGCGGTCTTGAGCTAGCTCTTTGAATGTCAGCAAGTAGCTGGGTTCAGTTTGGCTGGGATCAGGCAGTTGCAATGGATTGAGAGTACTTGCAAGAGAGAGATTAAGTGAAGGCCATGGTATATTATCTGGATAGAATAAAAATGAAACAGGAAGGGGCTGGTAGAATTGAAGAAATCAATAACTTGGACATCTCAACAAGGTAATAGAATCACTGTATAGAGATATTTGAGCAAGTGATCTGGAAAGTGGGATGTTTTAATTAGCGATATTGGAGGTAGGGTTTTGTATTAATGACCAAAGCCAAGAGTAGGAAAGACAAATAGAATAAATGGGGTAGAGGAGAGAAAAAGTTGCTAAAGAAGGCAAGGAGCCAAGAAAATGTGAGGCCCGAGTCCTTTTTGGCATGATTAATTAAATGAAACATTTTCTAGGATAATAGCAGAAGGCAAGGGGCTAAGTAAGACTGAACAAGGCCTTCAATGATCAAAACTGTATGACCAGAAGATTCAGGGAGAAGATAGTATGCCTTGGTAATGTGGCTTTGAGAAATAGCTTCTGCTTGAGGAGGCATAAGGGAAAGGGATATCTTAGGAGTTCAACCAAACGTCAATCTAGCAAGCTGGAAGACAAAATATTTGCAGAAGTTGAAGAGTTAGAGGTTTATGTTTAGAAAATTCTAGGAAGCATCAACTATAGGCTTTTTGTAGGGGAGAGGGCAGTGAATGGGGTCTTTATAGAGGATATGTGGATTCATAGAAGGATATGAATTCTCCTTTAAGCATTAAGAAAACCCAGGAATAACTTAAGGCTGAGACAGACAATGTACAGTTCAGAACCATAGACCTCGTCCTTTGTTTTGCTTTGTTTTTTATTTTGGCAGAAATAGTCTTCAGGGCTTCTGATATGCTCATTGATGCATAAATCAACACTTTTGTTCTTCTCATGAAAATCATATAAAAGTAATAAACAATTTTTTAAAAACTCAAACTCCATTTTTACTGGGACTAGAAGACGAATTTAAGCTACAGAAAATCAAAACATACAAAAGAGCTGCCAAAAGCAGCTCAGAGCAAGCAGAAGCTGTCCTGGGAGGGAAAAAAGTGAATAAATAGACTTATAAAGGAACTCAACACTGATGGATTTCCTCGTTTGTAAGTGAGGGTTTTACCTGAAGTGCAGAAGACATATCCCTTTTTTGCAATGGATGGGGGTGGGGTGGGCAGAGCTGGTAGCAGAAGCCCTGCTGTACTAAATCTGGTTGAGAGAAGATGAGAAGACAGTGCACAGACATAATAAGATGAGTCTGTCTATGCAGCAGCAGCAAAGGAAAGAACCCTTAAGTTTACTCTGGACTCTCATCACCTCAAAGAGAAATTTCCTGTGCATCACTAATTCAGGAAAATCAAACTTTTGCTCACTGAAGAGCAATAAAAAGTGAACTGGCACAGACATGATACAAAGAAAATATTTTTAAAATGTGGAAAAGAGCAAAAAAAAAATCTTACAGACAAAGCATAGTTCTTAGAAAATGTCATGGACATATGAAAATTGTGATGAACACATTTTACCATTAGCTTTAAAAATTTAATGAAACCATCCCCCTTGTCTTCTAAGGAAGACAATGAGCACAAATATAAGAAATCAGACAATAGATCGAAAAATAACAAGAAGAAAAGAGTTGGTAGAAACCAGGAAACAAGCAGGAAGGGAAAAAACCAGAGACAAAGGAGAAATTTTAAAAGACACTAGAAGAGTACATAAGACAGCACAGTAAAGGACATAAAAACTAAAAATGAGAAAAGCAAAAAAAAAGGCACATAAAGATAAAGAAAGAAAAAGTAATTAAAGATTAGAGAGACAATGAAAAATATGAGAAAAGCAAAGAAGAACCAACCTATGCATAATCAGTTTCCAATGAACAAAACTAAATGAAAGCTAAATGTAATTGTGAAACAGAATAATTAAAAACATACAATCAAGAAATAAATAAATAATCCTGAAATAAAAGCATTAAATATATTAAAAATTTACTGCATGTACCAAGAAATGTATACAAAAATAGTCAATACTGAGACATGTCTTAGTAAAGTTTATCACACGCTCTAAAGAATTGCCTAGGCAACCATGCAAAACCATGGGGTATAAATCAGACTTGCATCCGATTTTTCTACAGAGAAATTCTCCACTGAAATACAATATAGCAACACTTGCAAGGTTTTCAAAGAATGAAATTAAGAGCTAAAGATTTTAAATACAGCCAAACTGTCCTTTAGTTATAAAGGCCACTGACTAATATTTTTGAACATATAGGAATTACAGATATATTGTAATTTGGAGTCTTTCTTGAGAAAAATACTAGAGGACAATTATGAGATGACTGAGGAAAGTATGGCAAAAAAACAGTGCACTGAATACATTTAACTCTTCAAATAAGACCAAAATAAACTGTCAGTATTAGGGTGCTGGGACAGAAACAACACTCTAATGCTGATATGTTAATATCTTGACTGTGTAGATACATGCAAATAACAGAAATTAGATGGGGAAAGGGGGAAAGGAGTTTAAAGATGGAGTAAGATTGCTAATTTCTCATATAAAGCATCTGTCAGTCAAACCATATCATTTAAAATTGAAAAATCAAATAATAAAATATAGTCACATTTAACAACACAAAGTTAACCAATAAGAAACGTAATATCATTTCTTAAAATCAGGTAGAAAGAGAGAGGAAGCAGAAGAGGGAAAAAAGTCAGGATGCTTCCTTGTGACTACTAATTGATCCTTGTAAGATAAATAAAGGACTAAGGGTATTAAATTAATTTATAATTATCAAGATAATACTCGAATAAAAATACAGATTTTCCTAAAGAAAGAAAGAGCTGAATTGTAAAAGTGTTTTTAGAACTTGATAAAAGGTCAGGTGCGGTGGTTTACAGATATAATCCCAGCACTTTGTGAGGCCAAGGTTGGGGATCATCTGAGCCCAGGAATTCGAGACCAGCCTGGGCAACATGGTGAAACCCTGTCTCTACAAAACATAAAAAAATTAGCTGGGCATGGTGGTGTGCATATGTAGTCTCAGTTACTCCGGAGGCTGAGATCGGAGGATCACTTGAGCCTGGGAGGTCAAAGCTGTAGTGAACTGTGATCGTACCACTGCACTCCAGCCTGCGTGACAGAGTGATATGCTGTCTCAAAAAAAAAATCATTAAAAAAATTTTTAAATAAAAAAATAAACTTGATAAAATATCCAACAATTAGGGAGACTTAATATAATAAAAAATGTCTCAAACAATAATGTATTAGTGTTTTTACACTGCTATAAAGATACTACCTGAGACTGGGTAATTTATAAACAAAAGAGGTTTAATTGACTCATAGTTCTGCATGGCTGGAGAGGCCTCAGGAAACTTACAATCATGGCAGAATGCAAAGGGGAAGCAGGCACCTTCTTCACAGGCAGCAGGAGAGAGAGAGAAGGGGGAAACTGCCAAACACTTTTAAAACCAACAGATCTTGTGCGAACTCCCGCACTATTAGGAAACCGGCATGGTGGGAAATGCCCCCATGATCCAATCACCTCCCACCAAGTCCCTCCCTCAACACATGAGGATTACAATTTGAGATGATTTGGGTAGGGACACAGAGCCAAACCATATAAAATGGATCAGGTTTATGGGGAAATTCAAAGGGCATATCACTCAAGTCAGGAATAAGACATTGATGCTTACCATCACAACTACTTTGTAGCATATTATTAAATCCAAACTATACTAAAATAACTGTCAACTTCCAAAACAAAACAAAAACTTGTCAATATAGCTTGCTGTTGATGCTATGGGAGAATGGGCACTCTCTTGCACCACTAATGGAAATGCAAATTAGTATAAGGCTTATTTATGCTGGGAGACTTAGCAATACCATTCCGAATTGTAAACGCATATACCCTTTGATCCAGCAATTCTACTTCTCTAAACCTATGTACAATAATATTCATCACAGCAATATTTGAAGTAGCTGCATATTATAAACAATCTAAAATCCAACAATGGAGAGTTGGTTAAATAAGGTAATAGTATATCCAAACAATGGAATACAATGCAGCTGTCAACAACAACAACAAAAGAATAAGGACGACAGTTTGTGTTGCAATGAAGTGATCTCCAGGATGTATTATTGGTAAGTGAAAAAAAATGAAGCAGCAAACAATAAACAGTGAATGTTATCTTTTGTGTAAAAAGGAAGAAAAATTTTAAAAATGTATGTATGTTTGCTTGCACACTTATGAAGAAAAGGAGAAGTTTTAAGAAACTATTAACAGTGTATATTCCGGGAAGTTGGAAGAGCTGGGTGGATGTGTAGGGTGGAATATCTGTCTGTTTGCCTAAGATTATCCTGATTTCCCCCAGACAGTCCTGGTTTTCACCTGTTGTTTAAAACCAAAGTATTACACTTAACACTCTCAAAACTTTCTCAGTTTGGATGATAAGTTAACCATTAAGTTGTACATAAACTGGCAGCCAGTGACAGCACTTACAAAGCACTTACTCGGTGTCAGGCACAGTTCTAAACACTTATATATTTTATCCCCACAGTTCATCCTCTGACCATTGCTGCTATAGTCAGTGGCTCATCTTATTCTGATTCAAGCTGGCAGGATTGGGCCAGTCAAAACTGAACATACAGTAGCTATCTTTCATAAGGTGCTTCCTGCATCCTAAGCACGTTCAGGTAGGTATTAATAGTATTCTCATTTTACATGTGAGAGAACTGAGCACAAAGAGTTGGAGTAACTTGCCCTAAGTCACACAGCCAGACAAGTAACAAAGCTGGAGTTTGTGCTCATGTTTGTCCCCAAAATGTGTGTTTTGTGTTACCTGTTTGTGTGCATTTTTGTGTATGTGCTCTAACCCTGTCCTGGAAGCTGAGTATAAGTAATAATATTATGTTCAACTGGCAAGTGTAATTCCCCACAACTAATTCATGAAATTAAGGCATTATGATAATTTATATAAAAAAAGAAAACACAGGTTTGTGCATTTAATGAAACTTTGTTTCCAACAATGCTCATACATAATGTATGAATCTTCTAGATTAACCATGGCTATTAAAAATTATCCATACTGAATACTAAACTGGAAATATAGTATGATGCCAATTATATAACTCATGCACACAGGGGAGAGAAATAATAGTGGCCCTCTCTGAGTTGCAGAAGTATTAGTAACTTGTTTTGTCTTTATATTTATCAGTATTATTTCATGTTTTTTACATTGAGCATGTCTTACCTTTCATGTATAAAAAGCATAATAAAATATATTTTAAAGAAAACTACATGAACTCTGGTACATATAGGCTTCTAATAACATGGCTTATAGTTGAAAATAAATAAAACAAAAAGTGACTCTAAAAAAATTAGTCGGGTGTATATTGTTTCCAGTATACCAGTGGAAATACCTCCTAGAACTCTCACCTGAAGCTGAATAAAGTAACAGATTTGATTTTCTTATGAGGTAACTCTCTCTTCTAGGCCAGTTCTAGGATAAGGAAAATTAAAGAATTATTGATCCAGAATAAAAAAGGGGGCAGTGAATAACAGGCACAGAGGTTTTGTGACCAGGAACACACAATTACAAGGTAGATGGAGATGTCGGTGTCTTTCTTCTATATATTCAAGCTGACCCTTTTTAGCAGAATAATAGTAAGTAAATCCTGCTTACCAGTTTGTCTGAATATTCAAAACAGTGCATGAAGCTATTTTGTCTTTGGAATTGGTGTTAAAACTAAAGATGCTGTCATGGACTCCGAGGAGTAGGATGGGGCTTAATAAAACACGAAATAAGAGGAAACAAAATGAAGATTTACTTAAGACCTATGATCCTCCAAGACACTATTAGGCATTTTAAAATTAATTATTTCTTTTTAATCTTCATAACACTTAGTGAGTGGAATGCTGGAGCTGGCTTGCGCTAGCTCCAAAGCATCAACTGTTAAATTTTCAGAAATTTTGCAAGCTGGTTGTTAAATACAACCATTAATAATACTTAAACTATAAAAGCTAAAAATTATATTAAGAACGAAGGTAATAAATACCCCAAAAGCATCATTTTCTAATTATTTTACTACATTTTACTATTATCTATGCTAAGATAATTTACATGCATTATATATGTAGTAAGGAAAGAAATATTATATTTAATTATGCCTTAATGTTACATTGAATTCAGCAATAGCGGGGAAATTTACACCACAGAGTTAGGGAACACTGCAAATCAGAGCTTTTTTCTCCCTTTATATCTTTTTTATAAGAGCTGATTGTTAAACATTTAACAGCACACTACTATGAAATACAGCTTATTATCTACAGCTACTGATGAGAAAACCAAGGCCCAAAGAAAAGTTGTATTTGAAAAAAATCATGCCATGCAGCACATCTGTTGTAATTTATTGTTACTTTAATGCAAAATATTATAAAGTGATTCAATAAAAGGCTAAAGAATGTTAAAACTTCTGGTTTAGAGCATACATATTTTAAAAACTGAGATTAAGCCAACCACTTTCTCAGAGTCCCCTAATCATCCTTGCACAAGTTAGCTGCTTAATAAAAAATTTTCCTTCTGTGGCTTACAGATGTTTTATTGTTTAATCTTAATGAGTATAAAATATCATAACCCTTTGACAATATAAGACTTTAGTTCTTTTATTAAAACCTAATACAGGTAAAATTAGGTTTTAATTAGCTTTAAAAGAATGCCTAAGTTCTCTCATGTTACTAGAATGTTTATTATGTAAGTGTTATTTTATTTTTACCAAACAACCCATTATGACATAGAAATATTTGGATTCCTTTTAAATGTTGTTATTGCAATGAATAAATAAATTTATCAAAAAACTATAGTTAAAAAAATTGAAAAATATTTTGTAAAACATAAAATAACTCCAAGTATTTAAAAATGTTACCGTTAAACTTCCTGGTATTCATGGGCAATTAGCAAGGAGCATAAGTCTGTTAATTGAGAAAATCAACAAATATTTACTGACTGTCTCTTGTTTATAAGGCACTTATTGCTTTCTCTCTCTTTAAAATGTGTAATTTATAATTTAAAAAATTTAAAAGCATACTACCTAACTATAAGAGCACAAAGTGACCATTGTGAAAAATGTAGTAAGCTTTAAGAATCAAAGCTAAAATCATCTATAATCTTGCCACCCAAAGTCTACCACAGTTAATATTTTGACAAGGTTTCTTCTAGCTTCCTCGTGTGTGTGTGTGTGTGTGTGTGTGTGTGTGTGTGTGTGTGTGAGAGAGAGAGAGAGAGAGAGAGAGAGAGAGAGAGAGAGAGAGAGAGAGAGATCATTTTATTTTGCTTGGTTGAAAAGTGAGAACCAGAATCTTATTCCAGTGCCTTTGATCTGGCACCCCATGACATTGGGCAGCTCTTATCTTTCACCTTTACCTGATGAATCTGCCACAGCTGGCCACCAATCTCCACCCCTAGAAATTTCCTCCATTGCCCTGGAATCTTTTCTTTGGGACAAAGGACTTATTTGAGTAAACTTGGTAAGGAAATTCTTCCTCTCTTCGAATCCCTCTAAAGCAAGGCATTGCCATATCCAGAAGCTAGTTAAAAAGAAACATCAGTTGCTTCATCTGTAAAATGATCTCTAAGATCTCTTCCTGCCAACCTAAGCAGACAGTGCAAAAATGGTTCAAAGTGCAGGCTCTCCAGTCCAAAAAAGCTGAATTCCCATCCAGTTCTGCTGCCACCTATTTGTATGTCTCTGGACAAATTGCTTAATCTATCTATTCCTCCATTTCCACAGCCATAAGTGAAAACTATAGGCTCACAATTCCTTATCTGAAACCCCTGGTGTTAGATGTGTTATGGAAATCCAGAAGCTTTGGAATTTACAAAAGTAATAAAGTGGATATAAAGTATAATTTGTAACACCCACGGAGGGCATTATATCACCTCTTGCATATTCGGTTAACATTGCCAGGAGGGTCTGGAGGAGCACCTTGCAATCAAAAACATTTATATTCCTACAGCAAAAATGTGTGGTAACATAAATAAAGCCTAAATAGCCTCCTGTCATTTCAAGTCAGATTTTTCCACTGAGTTCAGAAGTCTGTTCAAGCTTTACTGCAAATGGGTTTGGAGAAACTTTTTGGTTTCAGAATTTAAAATATTTTAGAATGATAGATCAGGAATTGTGTCCCTGTGATATGTCATTGGATTGTTGTAAATGAAAAGAGTTCTTACCTATCACAGGACCTGATACAGATCTGAGAGCTCAATAAATGTTACTACAGCAACAGCAACTAATGTTTATATTACTACTATTTGTGTTGCTATTACTTATTGTTATTATTACTTCTTATTCAAAAGCTCTGGACATCTCCCCCACCCTTCTCTCCAGTGCCACAGCCATTTGCATTAATTCTGTTCTTCCTTTCTTACCTGGACTCCTCTAATGTGCTTCTTAATCAATCTCCCAGCCTCTAGTCCTTCTCCTGCAGCATCCATCAGAAGTTAGCACAGAATTGTTCTAAAAACACTAACATGACCTCGTATCTCCCCTACTTTCTTACTATCCTCCACTGGCTTCCCCTCACTAACCTCATAAAGTCTAAATTGTTTAGTATGATGTACAAAACCGCTCCCTCCTTGTGCATTACGCTGTAGCAATTCTTAAAGTCCCCTCAAACATACCAGACTGATTTCAATCCCCTGCCTTTGCAGAAGTTTTTCTGAGGGCCTCAGATATCCCATCACACACATACCCCATACCATTGTTCTCTCTGTTTTCTCTGCCACATACATATCTTAATTCTATCACCATGCTTATTATGGTGGGTTGGAACTTGTTTGCTTCTGAGTGTCCCTCTTTGAAGACAAGAACTATTTTTTTCAATTCCAAATCTCCAGCACCTAGCCGTCATCAGCACTAAAAATGTTAATTGAACTAAATCCCATGTCTAACACTGTCTTGCAAGGTTAACTGGGTGCCAGATGATCATCTCCTAAACATGGCAAAGCTGAACCTCTTTCCTCTCTCTCTTTTTTTTTTTCCAGAAAAGAATACATGCAGGGAAAGCCCAGAGCAGTTTGGTGTCATCCCTTCCACAGTGGAAGCTGACAAATGACTTCATGGTGTGGGCAATTTGGGGTAGGAAGAGATGGGCTGCTGAGTTCTTAAATAACATCCAGAAAAGCTAGTGAAGTGAGACAAATGGGTGAGAGGCTGCAGGTGCTGCGTGACTGTAAGGTCTTCCTGCCCACAGGTTGCTCCTGGCTATTAGTACTACTAATATTTCACTCTCCACAACAGCAGTAGCAGCAGGAGAAATGTAATGGTGAGGGCTCTTCTCAGGCCCTCAGCTGGTTATCTGCCATGACACCAACAACCCAGATGAGGAGCAGCTGCTATTCCTCTCTCTCCCTACAGATGACTGCAAAAAGAAAAAAAAAGAGTCATTTCCAGTTTTGCTGTTTTAACTTGGTGGGTTTGTGTAGTGGAAGTGGCGAGATTTAAATAAAATCAATTTACATCTTAATTTTTTTACTCCTAAGATACTGTTTTTTGAAGATGAATATTTCAGTGCTGGAAGTGTATAATCCTTCCAAAAGCTTCAAATGCCAATATGCATCTAATGATGAGAGAAGATGCTTGGCATTTCTCTGAGATGTGCCAATGGAAAGTCAGCCATGAGGAAATTAAGTAAAATCAACACATGTGCACACCCCAGGGCTGGCAGATGTTTCTCCATGAACAGCTTTATAGAATATAGAGTGTTCATGCAGTCCCTAGTTCCAAAAATTGGGCATAGATTTTTAGATAAGTATGTGCCTGAATATAATATATGTAGGACATTGGGTTAAGCTGGATTTTAATCTTGTACCTGGCACTTACTAGCCATGTGGCCTTCAGGAAGGTAGTTTTCTGTCTCTGAGCCACAGTTTGCTCATATGTGTTAACAGAAAAAGAATTACAGTCAGCTACTAATATTAAGTCCACATACTATACCAGATACTTTTTACTTATTTAGTCCTCTCAAAACCTGGTAACAAAAATGACATTAACTCCATTTTGCAAATGCAGTTCAGAGAGATGATAAAACTTCTCCAGTGTCACACTCTAATGACCATGGGCATATGCTGCTCAAATCTTCCTGCAAGAGAACCTATTGGCAAAAGTGTAGTTGGTGGACATCCTCCAGCTGCTATACCTTCTGATCCATACCAGCATTCATCACTGAGGCTACATTCTCTCAGAGCTGCTCTCAGCCAATGACAGAATAGTTTGGGAACTAGAGATGGGTGATTCCAGCCCAATGCAGAACTCCTTTGATGAGCAGTCTTTGTTCTCGAGCTCCCCATTTCCTGGGTGAAACTTTCTCAGGGCTCAACTGAAGTCTGAGGTCCTTCCTACCCAACCTTCTTCCTTCCTCTCTCTTTGTACAAGTGTAGAAACTGCATCGTAGTCTGAAAGCTCTTTCTACCTACTCTGTTCTCTTCCCACTTTATTTTTTGTAGTTATTTCCCCCAGATTAATCTCTTGCTTGTCTATTTCTCTCCTGGCATCTCCTTCTTAGAGGACCTAACCTGACACACACATAGAGAATATGATACACTGAGTCAAGTTCTATAAGGGTAAAATGAAGATAGGAATAGGATAATGAGAAAATGCTTTTGAAAGATTCCAGGACACTGCCCGCGTGGAGGCCAGCAGTGCACAACCCTTGCTGCACATCTGAACCATGTGTGCTATGTTTTAAGAATAGACAAGTTGCTACCCATCTCAAACCTACTAGAAGCTCTGGTAGCTAGCCATAATTTTTTAGAAATAACTTATTGAGGCGAAATTCACATTACATAGAAACCATTTTAAAGAAAACAATTCAGTGGGATTCAGCACATTCACAATGTTATGCAACTACCACCTCTATCTAGTTCCAAAGCATTTCCATCACTTCTAAGTAAAATCCCTTACCATTAAGCAGTTTCTCCCCATCCCTCACTTCCCCCAGCCCCTGACAACCACCAATCCACATTCCATCTCTATGGATTTCTCTATTCTGAATATTTCATATTAATGGAGTTATACAATGTTTGTCCTTTTGTGTCTGGTATCTTGTACATAGCATAATACTTTAAAGGTTCATTCCGATTGTAGCATGTATCAGTACTTTATTCCTTTTTATGACTAAATATATAATATTCCATTGTATGGATATAAAACATTTGTTTATTCATTCACCTGTTGATGGACATTTGGGCTTTTTCCACCTTTTGGCTATTGTGAATAGTGCAGCCCTGAACGTGGATGTACAGGTAGTCAACATCTTTTTATGTGCTTGTTGGCCCTTTGTCTGTATTCTTTGAAGAAATGTCTATTGAAGTTCTTTGCACATTTTAAAATTTGATTGCTTAAATTTTTGTTGTTGAGTTGTGAGAGTTCTTTATATAGTCTAGATATCAGACCTTTATCTAAAATATGACTTTCAAATATTTTCTCCCATTCTGTAAAGTCTCTTTTCACTTTCTTGGTAAAGTTTTTAAATTTTGATAAATCCTAATTTGTTTACTTTGTTTAGTTCATCATGCTTTTGGTGTCAAATCTAAGCATTCATAGCCGTTATAAATAATTACTTTTATGGCTTTAGCTCTTATATTTATTTAGGTGTGTGATCTATTTTGAGTTAATTTTTATATATAGTGTTAAGGTGAGGGTCCAGCTTTATACTTTTGTATGTAGATATCCAGTTGTCCCAGCACCATTTGTTGAAGAGTCTAGTCTTTCTCCCACGGAAAGGTCTTGGAACTCTTGTCAAGAATCAATTGGTCATAGAAAGATGGGTTTACTACTGAACTCTCAGTTCTATCCTACTGGTCTATTTATCTACCCTTGCAACAATTTCACACTGTTGTGATTATTGTAGCTCTATCATAAATTTTGAAATCAAGAAGTTATTCCTCCTTTTCTCAGGTTGTTTTGGCTATTTGGGGGCACTGCAATTCCATATGAATTTGAGGATCAGTTTTGTTTTGTTTTGTTTTCCCCTTTTTTTATTTTTTAAGTTCTGGGAAACATGTGCAGAACATGCAGTTTTGTTACATAGGTATACATGTGCCATGGTGGTTTGCTGCACCTATCAACCCATCATTTAGGTTTTAAACCCCACATGTATTACGTATTTGTCCTAATGCTCTTTCTCCCCTTTCCTCCCACCCCCCAATAGGCCCCAGTGTGTGATGTTTCCATCCCTGTGTCCATGTGTTCTCATCGTTCAACTCTCACTTATGAGTGAGAACATGCAGTGTTTGGTTTTCTGTTTCTGTGTTAGTTTGCTGAGAATGATGGTTTCCAGCTTCATCCATGTCCCTGCAAAGGACATGAACTCATTATTTTTTATGGCTGCATAGTATTCCTTGGTATATATGTGCCACATTTTATTTATCCAGTCTATCATTGATGGGCATTTGGATTGATTCCAAGTCTTTGCTATTGTAAACGGTGCTGCAATAAACATACGTGTGCATGTATCTTTATAGTAAAATGATTTATAATCCTTTGGGTATATATCCAGTAATGGGATTGCTGGGTCAAATGGTATTTCTGGTTCTAGGTCCTTGAGGAATTGCCACGCTCTCTTCCACAATGGTTGAACTAATTTACACCCCCATCAACAGTGTAAAAGTGTTCTTATTTATCCATATCCTCACCAGCATGATCAGTTTTCTTATGTCTGTGAAAAAGGTCATTGAAATCTTTTATAGAATTGCATTGAATCCATAGATTACTTTGAATAGTACTAAAGTTTTCACAATATTAAGTCTTTCACTCTGTGAACATGGGGTGTCTTTCTATTTTTTAGGTCTTCTTTAATTTCTTTCAGCAATGTTTTATTGTTTTCAATGTACAAGACTTTTACTTCTTTGGGTAGATTTATTCTTAGTTTTTTTATTCTTTTGGATGTTTATATGATTTGGCTCTGTGTCCCCACCCAGATCAGACCTTGAATTTTAATCCCCATAGTCCCCACATGTCAAGGTCAGGACCACGTGGAGGTAATTGGATCACGGGGGCAGTTTCCCCCATGTTGTTCTTGTGATAGTGAGTTCTCAGGAGATCTGATGGTTTTATAAGGGTCTAACATTTCCCCTTCTTGCACTCACTCTGTCCTGCCATCCTGTGAAGAAGGTGTCTGCTTCCCCTTTGCCTTCAGCCAAGATTGTAAGTTTCCTGAGGCTTCCCCAGCAATGCGGAACTGTGAGTCAATTAAAACTCATTCCTTTATAAACTACCCAGTCTCAGGTATTTCTTCATAGCAGTGTGAAAACGGACTAATACAGATGTTATTGTAAGTGAAATTGTTCCTTAATTTCTTTTTTGGATTGCTCATTGTTAATGTAAGAAACACAACTATACACTAGCTGTGTGTGATTTTAGTGTGTTTGTCTTTTCCTAATCTTATGGGGAAAGCCTTCAATCTTTCTCCACTGCGTATAGTTTTAGCTATCAGTTTTTCGGAAATGTTTTCTATCATGTTGAGAAGGTCACTTTTTTGGAAAAGCATTAAAAACAGTTCCTGTAGCAGCTCAATAAGTGTTTATTAAATTGAAAACAACAAGTGGTTCCCCCAATCTGCTGATATGCTTTAGTACAGAGAGACTTAATATAAAATTCCATGCAGGAAAAAAACACACAAAAATAAATAGGCCATTCTAAAGACACTGATTATGACTCTGGGAACCAGTATCATTATGTGAAGAAAAGAGAACAGGTTTTGCTGTCAGATTAACTGGGTTGGAATGCCAGCTCTGCTATGGTTCAGGTTGCATGACGTTGAGACATTCACAAAACTTCTTTAAATTTTTTTCTTATCTGTAGAGATAATATAAACCTTGCAGGGTATTGTCATGATTATATGTAAAGGACTGAGCCTTGAATCTAGAGCACAATCATTGCTAAATAAATGGTAGTACCCTTTGCTAAGCCCATCTCTATGATTTGCAGGGCCTAAAACAAAAGAACATAAAGAAGCCCACTTACCAAATACTTAGTTATTTGAAAATTATAAATCAAGATAAATAAGGTACTCCCTTCACCCACTCAGTTTCTTCATTAGCTGAATTTTTAAAACATTCATTGAGCATCAATTCATATCAGATATGATGTTCCACTTAGATTAAAATGTCAATCATGGGCATCCAGAGAAGAATGGAGGAAAGCAGACAATATCTAAAACACTGTTTCCAAGATTCCAATTAAAATACTCAGTGAAACACGAAAAGATATGCAAAGTTTTAGGAGTACCAAAATGCAGAAGTATTTATCAATAGCTAAGATAATATTTAAAGATGAAACATGAAGGCATTCATTTAGTAAACATTTATTCACCACCTACTATTTGCTAGATTCTGAGTCAAGAATAAAATAAGAACATCTGCTACTACTATTTAATAAATTCAATAAGTTCTACCTTATGAAATAAGAAGAGAAGATCAAATTATTATTTATACCTTTGCAAGGAAGCATTCCCTGACCATCCTATTAAAATTTCAAAGCATACTACCCCACAGGACTCACTTATTATCTCCATTCTCTGCCTAATTTTCCTCCATAATGTTTAGTGCCTTTTAAAATATTGTATATTTTACATAGTTATTTTCTTTATTATATGTCCCTCCATTAAAATGCTAGCACTGAGGGTACTCCCTTGGATGAATATAACACAATGTATTCATCCATTCCCTTCATGAAGGACATTAGGATTGTTATCTATGTTGTCACCATTACAAATAATGAATACTTTTATACATATCTTCTGGAGCATGTGTGAGAGTTTCTTATGATATATATAATAAATTCTTGTTATTTGCAGTAGTTATGTTGTATAAGGTCACTTTGAACACTGAATAAGCTAATATTGAACCATTATTGTTGGGGGGAAATAAAGGGTTAGGCCCCTAAAAACTTCTGGTCACAATATTTTTGTCAATCAATCAATAAAAACCTTGTTTTATGTGTGCTTCTTTTAAAAGTCAACTAATTTCATATATATTGTTGATGCATTAACAGTGAACTCACAGCCACTTAACTGTAACTCATGCTTGCATGAAGCTTAGCTGGCACATCTATTTTCTCAGTAACCCACATCACAGCCTTCTTGCATTTCAGATCACTGGATAACACTTCAGCACTACTCTTAGGGGCCACTTTTAATAGTAAAACCACCAAATAAAAGCACAGACCTTTGAAAATTATGGCACTAAGTCAAACACAGATAGGAAGCTTGTTTAAAGTATGAAAAATGGGAGAAGAAGGCAGAGTTTTGCCTTGTTCAACCTCAGCTGGGAACATGCATGTCAAGTTACTCAAATTTTTCACAGCTCTGCGTATGTCTACAGGTGGCTGCAAAAGCACCATGAATATTAATTTGAGGGTTACAGATAAGTTTTCGAAAGCAGGCAAATTCACAAATACAGAATCTGTGAATAACGAGGACCGACTATACTTACAAGTAGTATTCCTGGATATTAAAATATAGCCATCATCAATTTTGCTAGATGTTAGCAAATTGTTATTCAAAACGTGTGTACCTATTTCACTTCTACCCTAAGTTTCACTAGATCCAAGAGTCCCCACATTCATTCCAACTTTTGGTATTACTATTTTTAACATCCATGAATCCGAGGCACATAAAATGTCAACTTGTGGTTATTTGTTTACATTTGGATTTATTAGATTACTAAAGAGACTGAGCATCTCATAGAGGTTTTTCTTCCTTTGTTCCTGTTGATGCTTTTTGTTCATTTCCTGTTGTTTGTTGACTGGTTTGTCTTGGCTATCCTTGGTCAACTACTTCTACATATAAATTTAGGAGTAAGTTTCCTCAGTTTTATGAAAAATTCTATTAGATAATTTATTGGAATTATACCAATATTACAGGATAATTTGTGAAGAATTAACATCATTAAAAGAATTACTATCTTCTATGTGTTTAAGAGATGTTTTGTGATTTTCTTTGCAAGAATATTGTACATTTGGAAGTTAAATTTATTTCTAGTTATTATAAAGATTGTGTTATTATAATTTATGTGCTTATCCATTTCATTTTCTAATTGATTACTGTTGACATAGGGTTCACTATTGATTTTTTATGTCAATGTTTTATCTTGAAATCCTCTGAACTCCTTTGTTATTTTTAATAATGTTTGTGGGTTCTGTTGGGGTTTTTTCTCATATAGATGTGGCAGAAACTACTATTTACAGTCCAGAGCCTAATTGCCACATTTTTCTTTTGCCTAGAGATACTCCCCCTCCCCTTAGAATTCCTTCTTCAGCCCTCTCCCTCTCCTTCACCCTCTCCCCACAGTCTCCCTCTCCCTCTCTTTCCACGGTCTCCCTCTCCCTCTCTTTCCATGGTCTCCCTCTGATGCCGAGCAGAAGCTGGACTGTACTGCTGCCATCTCGGCTCACTGCAACCTCCCTGCCTGATTCTCCTGCCTCAGCCTGCCGAGTGCCTGCGACTGCAAGCGCGTGCCGCCACGCCTGACTGGTTTTCGTATTTTTTTGGTGGAGATGGGGTTTCGCTGTGTTGGCCGGGCTGGTCTCCAGCTCCTAACCGCGAGTGATCCGCCAGCCTCGGCCTCCCGAGGTGCCGGGATTGCAGACGGAGTCTCGTTCACTCAGTGGTCAATGGTGCCCAGGCTGGAGTGCAGTGGTGTGATCTCGGCTCGCTACAACCTCCACCTCCCAGCCACCTGCCTTGGCCTCCCAAAGTGCCAAGATTGCAGCCTCTGCCCAGCCGCCACCCCGTCTGGGAAGTGAGGAGCGTCTCTGCCTGGCCGCCCATCGTCTGGGATGTGAGGAGCCCCTCTGCCTGGCTGCCCAGTCTGGAAAGTGAGGAGCGTCTCTGCCCGGCCGCCATCCCATCTAGGAAGTGAGGAGTGCCTCTTCCCGGCCGCCATCACATCTAGGAAGTGAGGAGCATCTCTGCCCGGCCGCCCATCGTCTGAGATGTGGGGAGCGCCTCTGCCCCGCCGCCCCGTCTGGGATGTGAGGAGCGCCTCTGCCCGGCCGCGAACCCGTATGGGAGGTGAAGAGCGTCTCTGCCCGGCTGCCCCATCTGAGAAGTGAGGAGACCCTCTGCCTGGCAACCACCCCGTCTGAGAAGTGAGGAGCCCCTCCGCCCGGCAGCCGCCCCGTCTGAGAAGTGAGGAGCCTCTCCGCCCGGCAGCCACCCCATCTGGGAAGTGAGGAGCGTCTCCGCCCAGCAGCCACCCCGTCCGGGAGGGAGGTGGGGGGGTCAGCGCCCCGCCAGGCCAGCCGCCCCATCCGGGAGGGAGGTGGGGGCGTCAGCCTCCCGCCCGGCCAGCCACCCCATCCGGGAGGGAGGTGGGGGGGTCAGCACCCCGCCCGGCCAGCCGCCCCGTCCGGAGGGAGGTGGGGGGGTCAGCCCCCCTCCCGGCCAGCCGCCCCGTCTGGGAGGTGAGGGGCGCCTCTGCCCGGCCGCCCCTACTGGGAAGTGAGGAGCCCCTCTGCCCGGCCACCACCCCGTCTGGGAGGTGTACCCAACAGCTCATTGAGAACGGGCCAGGATGACCATGGCGGTTTTGTGGAATAGAAAGGGGGGAAAGGTGGGGAAAAGATTGAGAAATCGGATGGTTGCCCTGTCTGTGTAGAAAGAATTAGACATGGGAGACTTTTCATTTTGTTCTGTACTAAGAAAAATTATTCTGCCTTGGGATCCTGTTGATCTGTGACCTTACCCCCAACCCTGTGCTCTCTGAAACATGTGCTGTGTCCACTCAGGGTTAAATGGATTAAGGGCGGTGCAAGATGTGCTTTGTTAAACAGATGCTTGAAGGCAGCATGCTCGTTAAGAGTCATCACCACTCCCTGATCTCAAGTACCCAGGGACACAAACACTGCAGAGGGCCGCAGGGTCCTCTGCCTAGGAAAACCAGAGACCTTTGCTCACTTGTTAATCTGCTGACCTTCCCTCCACTATTGTCATATGACCCTGCCAAATCCCCCTCTGTGAGAAACACCCAAGAATGATCAATTAAAAAAAAAAAAAAAAAAAAAAAAAAAGAATGGTGAAAGTAGGCATCCTTGTCTTTTTCCAGTTCTTATAGGAAAGGCTTTCAGTTTTTCCCCATTTAATATTTTAGCTGCGGATTTGTCATATATGATCTTGATTATGCGGAAGTATATTTCTTCTATGCCTAATTTTTTCAGAGTTTTTATCATAAAAGGATATTGAATTATGTCAAATGCTTTTCTGGATATGTTAAAATGATTATATGGTTTTTGTCCTTCATTATGTTGATAGGATATATCATATATATTAACTTGCATATGTTAAACCATCCTTGCATCCCTGGGGTAAATTTCACTTGATTATGGTGGCGTATTATCTTTTGCAGAAACATGGATAGAAGTGAAGTTCATTATGTTAAGTGAAATAAGCCAAGCACAGAATGACAAATATCACATGTTCTCATTCATACGTGGGGACTGAAAAGTTTACCACATGGAGTTAGAGAGTAGAATGATGCTTATCAAAAGGTGGGAAGGATGAATGGGGGTGAAGAGAGGTTGGTTAATGAGTACAAACATACAGTTAGAAGTAATAAGTTCTTACGTTTGATAGAAAAGTAGAATGACTATAATTAACAATCATTTCTCATATATTTCAAAATATCTAAAAGATTTGAAATATGTTTCCTAACACAAAGAAAGGAAAACATTTTTGAGGTGATTGATATCCTAAACATCCTGATTCAATCATTATACATTGTACATATGTATCAAAATATCACATACACCCCATAAATATGTACAATTATTATGTATAAATAAGAAAGACAGCAGCTAACAAAAAACTAGAAATGTAAAAGAGATAATAAGTAGCAGAGGATTTGTAGAAAAGGAGAGACACAGCACACAGGAAAATATAGCTAAAAAATTACCCAATATACAGGTAAAAATATTTTCTAAAATATGTTAGAAAAATAAAGATACATAGAGAATGGAAGGAAAAATATGACATTGTATACTTTGAGTTCTAGAAAAAAAGAGAAGGAATAATACATGAAATCTTTTTATAAATTACAGAACATATGAATGCTCAAGTTGAGAGAGATCACCGGATTCCATTTAGAATTAAACCACATACACACATAAATACACATATGCACACAAACACCCAAAGTAAGGGTATTGCAAAAACTAATAAATATAAATTTATCTTAAATTCAGCCAGAGAGGAAAAAACAGATTCCCTATAATAAAACAATAATTTTACTGGTAGAAGAACTCTTTTTTTATTATTATTATACTTTAAGTTCTAGGGTACATGTGCACAACGTGCAGGTATATTACATATGTATAGATGTGCCATGTTGGTGTGGTGCACCCATTAACTTGTCATTTACATTGGGTATATCTCCTAATGCTATCCCTCCCACCTTCCCCCATCCCATGACAGGCCCAGTGTGTGATGTTCCCCATCCTGTGTCCAAATGTTCTCATTGTTTAATTCCCACCTATGGGTGAGAACATGCGGTGTTTGGTTTTCTGTCCTTGTGATAGTTTGCTCAGAATGACGGTTTCCAGCTTCGTCCATGTCCCTACAGAGGACATGAACTCATCATTTTTTATGGCTGCATAGTGTTCCATGGTGTATATATGCCACATTTTCTTAATCCAGTCTATCATTGATGGACATTTGGGTTGGTTCCAAGTCTTTGCTATTGTGAACAGTGCCGCAATAAACATACGTATGCATGTGAAAAAAAAAAAAAAAGAATTCCTTCTTCACAGATACGCACACCAATTTCAGCTGAGCACATAACCACCAGCTAGAAATCGCATGTTCCATCTTCCCTGTAACCATATGGTTAAGTTCTGTGTTTTTTTTTTCTTTTTCTTCTGTTGTTTTGTTTTACTTTTAGTGGGAAGGGCTAGGATTTTCAGTACAAGGTAGATTAGTAGCAGTGGAGATGTGCATCCTTGTCTCATACCCAAATTAACAGTACCATTTCTAAATGCTTACTAATATAAAATTTGTCATAGCTTTTGGATTCCCTCCTTCACTGCTATGTATTTCATCATATTATGTAATTTCCCTTTCTTTCTTAGTTGGTTAAGAGGTTTTCTTTTTATTTATTTTTTCTCACAAAAAAGTGTTAAGTTGCACGCAATGCTTTTTCTGTGTGGTATTGTATGTAAGGTTTTTTTTTTTTTTTTTTTTTTTTGTATGCTTTCTACATTCCCTCAGCTGCCTCCTTCTCTCTTGGTTGGTAGTCTGACCTGCTGAATCTCCCCTCCACTTCTGGTCTTAGATGAAATGCCACAAAACAGGGCTTGGGAAATGGCTTCTTGAGTAGCTACCAAGTTGCCAAATGTATAGAAGCATTAGATCTCTGTGGAATAAAATTTGACCAATGGGAAGCAAGAGTCAGGAGGGAACCAGACAGATACATTTCCACTCCTGTCCCTCCGCAGTGCCGTTTCCTCTTACAAACCTTTTAGAAAAGTTCCCATAAGCAGAGGGAATATGCTTAAATGTCTTTGCAACTGAATGTCTCTGAACTTGTACGGAAGTGGTGGCCAGCACAGCAACACAATCGCTGTACATCTTTTCTTGCCTCACATCACCTATTTTCCTCAATCACTGCTTGGATTTATACCCCTCGAAGTGTCAACATTATAATCTGTGCATCAGGCTCTGCTTTCCAGCAGATGCAGCCTAGGATACTCAGGCTAAAATCCATTATACCTAGTAGGACAATGTTAATGTTTGCTCCTTTAATCTCTTAGATATTAATATGGTGACAGATAGATAGATAGATATTGATACACAAATCCATCTTTCACTTCTTCATTCCTGAAATAAATTCTTCTCGTATTTTTTAAAACACTAGATTTTTTATATGTTAGCATTTTATTTAGGAATTATTCATTTATGGTCTTAAATAAGATCAGTCATTAGAATTATTTTACTGTCAGTATCCGGTTTCAGTGTCAAAGTAATACTTATCTATAAATTAGAGTTGATGCCTTTTTTTTCTTTTTGTGTTCTCTGAAATACATATAATTACCAGTTCATTGAGGCTTGATGAAACTTGCATTCAAATTTTATTGGCTTGATGTATTTCTTATATTTGAGATATGTGGGATTCATAAGGGCATATTTGTGACTACCAAGTCAATTTCTTTAAAGGATGTTGGTTTACTGAGGTTTTCTATAACTCCATCGTCAATAAAATCTTAAGTATTAGAATAATTTACATTAAAAATGTAGCTTGAAATTTATGAAACAGAAGAGCATACTCATTACTTGTAATCCAGTAAAATTCTACTTTTGTGTAGTTTTTAAGCTGAAATTATCATAAATGTATAGAAAAATGTATATGTATGAATTAAAGTTCAATACAGCATTTATTATAATGCAAATAATTTGAAAAACTATATAAATATCCAAAAATAATTGAGATTGATATATAAAGTGTGTCCTATCCATCCCATTGGTTTCCTCATAGCCAATGAAAGTTGTAGCCTTGAATCTTGGAGAACATATAAAGATTATGAGAAAATACTTTGTGTTGGCAAGTGAGACATAGCAGTATATTCTATTACTTAATTTTGTTTTAGAATGGAGAGAGAAAGAGAATTAAAGACTTGTAGAATTTATCCCCAAGTTTTAGCCTTGTTATATTCTTCATTAAATTTGTATACATTTTATCATAACTTGCTGACATTTTTGTCATCAGGAACAAAACATGTTATAAAATATCTTTTTAAATTGCCATTGTTTTCTACATGTGTTATAGCCACACTAATTCAGGATGAGGTGTTAGATCATCTTGCATGTGAGGCAACCTCTCCCAATTCAATGCCGTGTCCTACTTAGGATGAATTGGGATGCAAAATAACCCCACACTGGGACTCAGTGAGAAACTGCTGACGTCTATTCTGTTATCATAGCACATCCCACTGGAGACCCACTCTTGTCAGAATACATCTAGGGCATCCTCCAAACTGCAAAAATAACAGTCCTTACCAAAGGATAATAATGTCTCCATGCCCATCAGCCTGATCCTGGAACAAAAATAATAGCTTCTTGAATTGAGCCAAGGGGATTTTGAAAAAGAAAATTTCCAGAGTGTACACTAGCATGGTTTGTGTTCCATTCAGCACCAGGTACCCAGTAAGGAGATGCTTGTTATAAAGAGAGCTAAAGAGGAACATGCACAGAGCCTTTTGCTATCAGCATTGTTATCAAACTGTTGGATAAGAAACCATTTGACCAGGGGAGTGTACAGAGGGTAACTGAAAAGATATAGAATTAAAATTTCTGAATTCTAATGCGAGCCTTTCACTGAGGAAAACAAATTCCACAATGGCAAAACAATCCACACTGGGTGGCAAAGCTCTTCTGACCTCATGCCTTCCAGTTCCCTCACTTAGCCATTCACTCACCAAGTATTCGTTCAGATCCTGCTAACTGTGGGAGGCATTTTTGCTCCAAAGAAGGGCAAAGATTTGTTGCACACAGCCTCTGTATTCAAGGAGCTTATTCTCAAAGAGAATTTCTCAAGTCAAACAATTCTACTGCATTTTCTGTGCCAGAAAGTGAACGAGACGCAGAATAGCTGGAGATAATTAAAGTTGAGGCAAAACCGCAAAGCCAGAGGTTTGGAAGTTTTATTCTTTTCAAGCAGATGTGAAAACTTCTAAACACTGAATTTTTGGTTGGGGGGAGAAGGATGTAAGCTAGAGACAGTAATTGTGGAAGAAGGAGTTAAAGAATACCTGAGAGTTTGATAGAAAACAACCTGTGTGGGACAGGCAAATAATGGGACATTGAAATAGAATATATGTCTCAAAGCATGAGAAAGACTAGCTAAGTCCTGGCAGTGTAATGTAATAAGAAACATGACAATAGGTAACTTTACAGAGTTACTTCTACATTCCAGACATTCCATTAGGCATTTGAAATGCTTTATCTCATCTAATCCTCACTGCAACTCTGTGAAGCAGGTATAGATGAGCAATAAATAGCTCAGAGATAAAGCGACTTTTCCCAGTTCTTGCCCTTAGTGGAGCCAGTGTTTGAATCCAGGCAGCCTGATTCTAACAATTTCATTTTTGTACATCACACCAATGGTCTCAGTGTGGTCCTTAAACCAGCTGCAGCAGCATCACTTTTCCCAGGTGCCCATCCCAGACCTGCTGATTTGGAAACTGTGACTATGGAGCCCAGGAAGCTGTTTCAGCAAGCTCCCTAGGCGATTCTGATGCAGTTGATGTTTGAGAAACACTGCACTATCTCAGACTCTTTTAAATCAGAGACCTGGAGTCAAATTCAAACTCTACTACATCTCAGCTATGTGACCTTTGGCAATTGATACACCTTTCTTTCTTTTCTTTTTTTTTTTTTTTTTTTTTTTTTTTTTTTTTGAGACAGAGTCTTGCACTGTTGCCCAGGCTGGAGCACAATGGCACGATCTTGGCTCACTGCAACCTCCACCTGTCAGGCGATCTTGGCTCACGGCAACCTCCACCTCTCAGGTTCAAGCAATTCCCCTGCCTCAGCCTCTTGAGTAACTGGGATTATGGGTGCCCGCCACCACGCCCAGCTAATTTTTTGTATTTTTAGTAGAGATGGGGTTTCACCATGTTGGCCAGTCCGGTCTCGAACTCCCGACCTCGTGATTCGCCCGACTTGGCCTCCCAAAGTGCTACAATCACAAACGTGAGCCACGGCTCCCGGCCTGATACACCTTTCTTTTTTTTTTTTTTTTTTTTTTTTTTTTTTTTTTTTTTTTTTTTTTTTGAGACGGAGTCTCGCTCTGTCGCCCAGGCTGGAGTGCAGTGGCGGGATCTCGGCTCACTGCAAGCTCCGCCTCCCGGGTTCACGCCATTCTCCTGTCTCAGCCTCCCAAGTAGCTGGGACTACAGGCGCCCGCCACTACGCCCGGCTAATTTTTTGTATTTTTAGTAGAGACGGGGTTTCACCGTTTTAGCCAGGATGGTCTCGATCTCCTGACCTCGTGATCCGCCCGCCTCGGCCTCCCAAAGTGCTGGGATTACAGGCGTGAGCCACCGCGCCCGGCCGATACACCTTTCTAAGTTTCAATTATCCTATATATAATATAGAGTTAATAATAAGGACCCCTGCATTCCCCAATCCTGGAAGGTTTTATGATGAATAAAATGAGATAAATACAAGTAAAGTGTGTAGAGTACAGTTCAAACACTGTACTTTCAGAAAAGATTATCACTCACCCAGGCCAATATGCCTGAGTTGGACAGAATGCTACAGATAGCACCAAAGTTGAGACACCAATTTCCTTAACATTCTTATCCAGGGACCACTGAGGAACTCTGTCGAAAACACCATCACATTGTGGAAATTGGAAAATCAAAAAATCCAATTAAAAAATATATATTTATCTTCCACTCAGTCTAGCTTACTTGTGTAATTGCCCGTAACACTGAAACACAATCATGCCTCTCTGGAAAATAAGGGGACGTTGTACCAACTCTCAGTTGCAATTTAGGGTGATCTGTTTTGCTCCCCTTACTCGCCCCACTCCCTGAGCTGCCCACTCACACAAAGCCACCTAAATTAAAACATAATATAATGCCCTGAATTACAGTGATACTAAGCTATGAATATGAATGCCTGAAAGAACCTTGTTTCTTTTTAATGACTAGCCCTATTATTTTAAATATCATCTGAATACTAAAACGCTACTGCAAATTTAAGTAATATGTCATACTTCTAGGTGTTTCTAAATATTCAGATCATTAAAATGATGGAAATAGCCTTGAAAATAATTGTGAGCCCTACAATACACTGTATGAGGCATATGGACATGAGCGAGACAGAGTGAGATAAGCGAGAGAGGGAGAGAGGAAAGCAGAGAAAGAGTGGAGAGGGAGGGAGGAGAGGGAGGGAGATATTCAGGCTGACTGGCATAAAAGGGATTTATAATCATATTACTTCAGAAACCGTTACTGCTTGAAAAATGCTGGTAATATCTTCTGACAATGTTTATTTTTATGATATGTTTGATTTACTTTTCAATCCACAGTTAATTTCAAACAGTTTGAAAGATGTCTCATTACCATAACTTACATCAGAAGAAAAAAGAATATAGGCTATTACAGCTAACCAAAACTTTAGAGATAGATGGTAAAACTGTCCCTATAAACTTTATAAAGTTAATCAGAGAAGAAGGGAGAGGGAGAACTGAAAGCAAGCTTGCAACGCATTCAGCATTAGTCATGAGGTCAGCTTGCTCTCTGACCTGCTTCCCCATAGTTGTTTGCCTATTGTCCAATAATCATATAGAGCCTGTTACAAGATTATAGTTCCCCTTAACTGTTCTATAGATAAGAACTTGAACATTATAAAATGTTAAGCTTTTCCCTTTGAGATATTCCCTCAGGTCCTGCATGCTGATGAAACTACTGACTTAGCTGGTCTGAAGAACCTCACTGATGCCAGCTGGTCTGAAGGACTCCCCAAAGAGCTGGATTCTCAGTTAATGCAGTTTCCACATCCTGATTATTTCATCCCACTTACCCTGACCAATGAAAAACCCCAATTTTTCAGCCCTTTACCCTCCATAATCCCCTTAAAACCCCAGTCCAGAACTCCTCAAGGAGATAGATTTGAGGGTCTTCTCCCATTTTCTCACTTGGTGATCTGCAATCATTAAACTTTTTCTCCACTGTAAACCCTGCTGTCTCAGTGTAATTGGTCTGTTACTATGCAGCAGGCATACAAGCTTGGTCCTATAACAATGGTACAAACTCAGAGAGATGTCACAAGAAAAAGAGGTATAGAAATGTTCAAAGGTTTCTCTAAGACCACAGAGGTAATTAGGGGCAGAACCAAGACTAAAATCCTGATCACCTGGTTCTTCATCCAGGGCATTTTTCTCCACGTGAACATACTTTTGTAGAGAAAGTTAAAAAGAAGAAGAAACAGAAAACAATTTTATTTAGAGTAACTCCCTCATAGAATGAGTTTTTTTCCTTAAGAAATCATTTCCTTAAATGTTTCCTTAAGTGCTGTATTAGAATTTAAATCTTATATCCTAAGGGATTGAGTTTCAGTAGCACCTCTATGACCCTAGGCAGGTAAGGAATCACCCTGAGCCTGTTTTATCACTGGTTAAAGAGCAGTAACTCTGGTTCCCTCCCAGTGTTGCTGTGCTAACACCTGGAGCTCATCAAAAGCAATGTTCAACAAATAAGCATCATCATAAATCCCAGGGATAGGAATTGAGCCACACACAGGGTGACTGTGCTAAGATACAGCATTTTCTGTGACCCGAATGGTCAGTCAGGATGTATGGTTGAAAAGAAACAGCCACTGAAATATTCATCCAATATATTACCCCCTTACAAACAAGCATGTTCTGTTTCTCTGAAAGTACTCTCCTATCCCTGCTCTGTTGTCTATTCCTGACTCTTAAGATCCACACCTAGAGGACTAAAGATAGAACATACAGGATTGAAGGGGGCTCATGGTCCCACATTACAATCCTCAAAAAATGACCTTAAAGACAGACTAGCAGGTGAAAGGGTAGAGACAACATAGGTGACATCACCAAGAGTCACACATACCAAATATCAAAAAACAATTTTCTGTTTATCTCTCTCCCTTCTCCCTTTTCCCTACTCAGATCCAGATCTGCTACTGCATACATATCACCAAGTCATACCCATTCTACTTCCAAACGTTTCTCAACGTTATCTCTATCCCATCTGGCCATATCTAGATCATCTCATTTAATGGTCATTCATGCATTCACCTAGCCAACATTTTTGAGTGCCTAAAAAAGTACTAGATTGTTTGAAATGCTCAGAATTCCATGCATATTCAATTGCCCAGACCTTTGCTGTTCCCCTTTGAGTAGACTCCCCTTCTAACCTGACAAACTCCTATTTGCTCCTCGAGGCCCTGCCTTTTTCTATGATCCCATAGCAAGTTGTCCATGCTTCCATTACAGCTAATATCTATTTCCTCGATGCCTAACAAGTGCCTACTATTCAGCAGGTGCTAAGTCAAGGGTAGATGAAGAGATGTCTTTTCTTTTGCCTTGGAATTGGTTATGTTTCAGGAACCAGTCTAACCACCCGATCTGACAGTTATAATCAGACCATTACTTTATTTTCACTCAGTATTTGAACTTCTCTCAAGGCCCAGTTCACATGCAATGCACCACCACCACAACAAAAATGTGCTCAGACACTCCAGAACAAAACAAAGACCATCCTTCTGAGTCACAGCCATACACAAAGAGCATAGACTGGACTCCTTACAGGATTAGAGAAGACTAGAACTATATCTTGAATGTTCCTTCCTCCCCTTTCCATTCATTCAACAACATTTATTGAGCACTTAATATGTGGCAAGTACTGTTATAAGAACTTAAACATTTATAATTGAATATTTATCTAAACCATGAAATCCTAAACAAATAGATGGACTTCCAGTGGAGAAATGCATCTGTGGAACCCCAGAAACAGTTAAAAAAAAAATCCAGTGAGTAAATACGTTTTCCTGAGAGAGAAAATGGCTTTCAGCAGATTCTTAAAAAGTCCCTGATTCAAAAAAAAAATGTTGTTCTATATTGCCCTACACCCTGCTTAGAATAATAAATATTTATACCTGAACAAGTTCCAACATTTTGTTATTTGCTATATAAAAAGAATCCTCTCTCATTAAAAGTAATGGCAAAGCTTTTGGACTCCTGGCAAGATGGTCAAATAGGAACAGTTCCGGTCTGCAGCTCCCAGTGAGACCAATGCAGAAGGCAGGTGATATCCGCATTTCCAACAGAGGTACCCGGTTCATCTGATTGGGACTGGTTAGACAGTGGGTGCAGCCCATGTAGGGCAAGCAGAAGCAGGGTAGGGCGTTGCCTCACCCGGGAAGTGCAAGGAGCTGGGGGAGCCCCCCTCCCTCAGCCAAAGGGAAGCCATGAGGGACTGTCCTATCTGTCCCAGATACTATGCTTCCCCCATGGTTTTTACAACCCACAGACCAGGGGATTCCCTCACTTGCCTACACCACCAGGGCCCTGGGTTTCAAGCACAAAACTAGGCAGCTGTTTGGGCAGACACTGAGCTAGCTGCAGTTTTTTTTTTTCATACCCCAGTGGCACCTGCAACCCCAGCGAGACAGAACCGTTCACTCCCTTGGAAAGGGAGCTGAAGCCAGGGAGCCAAGTGGTCTCACTCAGTGGGTCCCAGTCCCACAGATCCCAGAAAACTGAGAACCACTGGCTTGAAATTCTCACTGCCAGCAAAGCAGTCTGAAGTCGACCTGGGATGCTTGAGCTTGGTAGGGGGAGGGGCATCCACCATTACTGAGGCTTGAGTAGGTGGTTTTCCACTCACAGTGTTAAGCAAGCTGCCGGGAAGTTCGGCAAAACTCACCGCAGGGCAGCGAAGCGGCTGTGGCCAGGCTGCCTCTCTAGATTCCTCTTCACTGGGCAGGGCATCTCTGAAAGAAAGGCAGCAGCTCCAGTCACGGGCTTATAGATAAAACTCCCATCTCCCTGGGACAGAGCAGCTGGGGGAAGGAGCAGCTGTTGGCACTACGGCAGACTTAAATATTCCTGCCTGCTGGCTCTGAAGAGAGCAGAGAATCTCACAGCAAAGCTCTGCTAAGGGACAGACTGCCTCCTTAAGTGGGTCCCTGACACCCGTGCCTCCTTACTAGGAGATATCTCCTAGCAGGGGTTGACAGGCACCTCATACAGAAGAGCTCTGGCTGGCATCTGGTGGGTGCCCCTCTAGGACAAAGCTTCCAGGGAAGGAGCAGGCAGCAATCTTTGCTGCTCTGCAGCCTCCACTGGTGATACCCAGGCAAACAGGGTCTGGAGTGGGCCTCCAGCAAACTTCAGCAGACCTGCAGCAGAGGGGCCTGTTAGAAGAAAAACTAACAAACAGAAAGCAATAATATCAACATCAACAAAAAGGACACCCACTCAAAAACCCCATCCAAAGGCCATCAGCATCAAAGATCAAAGGTAGATAAATCCACAAAGATGAGGAAAAACTGGTCCAAAAATGCTGAAAATTCCAAAAACCAGAATGCCTTATCTCCTCCAAATGATCGCAACTCCTCTCCAGCAAGGGCACAAAACTGGATGGAGAATAAGTTTGACAAATTGACAGAAGTAGGCTTCAGAAGGCAGGTAATAACAAACTCCTCTGAGCTAAAGGAGCATATTCTAACCCAATCCAAGGAAGCTAAGAACCTTGATAAAAGGTTACAGGAACTGCTAACTAGAATAACCAGTTTAGAGAAGAACATAAATGACCTGATGGAGCTGAAAAACACAGCATGAGAACTTTGTGAAGCATACACGAGCATCAATAGCTGAATCAATCAAGCAGAAGAAAGGATATCAGAGATTGAAGATCAACTCAATGGCATAAAGGGTAAAGACAAGATTAGGGAAAAAAGAATGAAAAGGAACAAGAAAAGCCTCCAAGAAATATGGGACTATGTGAAAAAACCAAACCTACAATTGATTGGTGTATCTGAAAGTGATGAGGAGAATGGAACCAAGTCGGAAAATATACTTCAGGATATTGTCTAGGAGAACATCCCCAACCTAGCAAGACAGGCCAACATTCAAATTCAGGAAATACAAAGAACCTCACTAAGATACTCCTTGAGAAGAGCAACCCCAAGGCACATAATCATCAGATTCTCCAAGGTTGAAATGAAGGAAAAAATGTTAAGGGCAGCCAGAGAGAAAGGTAAGGTTACCTATAAAGGGAAGCCCATCAGACTAACAGTGGATCTCTCTGCAGAAACCCTACAAGCTGGAAGAGAGTGGGGGCCAATATTCAACATTCTTAAAGAAAAGAATTTTCAACCCAGAATTTCATATCTAGCCAAACTAAGCTTCATACACAAAGGAGAAATAAAATCCTTTACAGACAAGGAAATGCTGAAGGATTTTGTCACCACCAGGCCTGCCTTACAAGAGCTCCTGAAGGAAGCACTAAATATGGAAAAGAAAAAACAGTACCAGCCACTGCAAAAGCATTCCAAAATATAAAGACCAACAACACTATGAAGAAACTGCATCAACTAATGTGCAAAATAACCAGCTAGTATCATGATGACAAGATCAAATTCACACATAACAATATTAACCTTAAATGTAAATGGGCTAAATGCCCCAATTAAAAGACACAGAGTGGAAAATTGGATAAAGAATCAAGACCCACTGGTGTGCTGTATTCAGGAGACCCATCTCACATGCAAAGACACACATAGGCTCAAAATAAAAGGATGGAGGAATATTTACTAAGCAAATGGAAAACAAAAAACATCAGGATTTGCAATGCTAGTCTCTGATAAAACAGACTTTAAACCAACAAAGATCAAAAAAGACAAAGAAGGGCATTACATAATGGTAAAGGGATCAATGCAACAAGAAGAGCTAACTATCCTAAATATATATGCACCCAATACAGGGGCACCCAGATTCATAAAGCAAGTTCTTAGAGATCTATAAAGAGACTTAGACTCCCACAAAATAGTAGTGGGAGACTTTAACACCCCACTGTCACTATTAGACAGATAAATGAGACAGAAAATTAACAAGGATATTCGGGATTTGAACTCAGCTCTGGACCAAGCAGACCTAATAGACATCTACAGAACTCTCCACTCCAAATCAACAGAATATACATTCTCAGCACCACATCACACTTATTCTAAAATTGACCACATAATTCGAAGTAAAACACTCCTCAGCAAATGCAAAATAATGGAAATCATAACAAACAGTCTCTCAGACCACAGTGCAAACAAATTAGAACTCAGGATTAAGAAACTCACTCAAAACCACACAACTACATGGAAACTGAACAACCTACTCCTGAATGACTACTGAGTAAATAACAAAATTAAGGCAGAAATAAATAAGTTATTTGAAACCAGTGAGAACAAAGATACAATGTACCAGAATCTCTGGGGCACAGCTAAAGCAGTGTTTAGAGGAAAATTTATAGCACTAAATGCCCACATCAGAAAGTAGGAGAGATCTAAAGTCAACACCCTAACATCATAATTAAAAGAACTAGAGAAGCAAGAGCAAACAAATTCAAAAGCTAGCAGAAGACAAGAAATAACCAAGACAGAGCAGAACTGAAGGAGATAGAGACACAAAAATCCCTTCAAAAAATCAATGAATCCAGGAGCTGGTTTTTTGAAAAGATTAACAAAATAGGTAGACCACTAGCCAGACTAATAAAGAAGAAAAGAGAAAAGAATCAAATAGACACAATAAAAAATGATAAAGGGGATATCACCACTGATCCCACAGAAATACAAACTATCATCAGAGAATACTATAAACAACTCTACACAGATAAACTAGAAAATCTAGAAGAAACAGATAAATTCCTGGACACATACACCATCCCAAGACTAAACCAGGAAGAAGTCGAATCCCAGAATAGACCAATAATGAGTTCTGAAATTGAGGCAGTAATTAATAGACTACCAAACAAACAAACAAAAAAAGCCCAAGACCAGACAGATTCACAGCTGGACTCTACCAGAGGTTCAAAGCAGAGCTGGTACCTTTCCTTCTGAAGCTATTCCAAACAATAGAGAAAGGACACCTCCCTAACTCATTTTATGAGGCCAGCATCATCCTGATACCAAAATCTGGCAGAGACACAACAAAGAAAATTTCAGGCCAATATCCCTGATGAACAACAATGCAAAAATCCTCAATAAAATGCTAGCAAGCTGAATCCAGCAGCACATCAAAAAGCTTATCCACCACGATCAAGTCAGCTTCATCCCTGGGATGCAAGGCTGGTTCAACATACACAAATCAATAAACATAATCCATCACATAAATAGAACCAATGACAAAAACCACATGATTATCTCAATAGATGCAGAAAAGGCCTTCAATAAAATTCAACACACTTTCATGCTAAAAACACTCAATAAACTAGGTATTGATGGAACATATCTAAAAATAATAAGAGCTATTTATGACAAGCCCACAGCCAATATCATACTGAATGGGCAAAAACTGGAAGCATTCCCTTGAAAACTGGCACAAGACAAGGATGCCCTCTCTCACCACTCCTTTTCAACATAGTGTTGGAAGTTCTGGCCAGGGCAATCAGGCAAGAGAAAGAAATAAAGGGTATTTAAATAGGAAGAAAGGAAGTCAAATTGTTGCTGTTTGCAGATGACATGATTGTGTATTTAGAAAACCCCATCATCTCAGCTCCAAAACTCCTAAAGGTGATAAGCAACTTCAGCAAAGTCTCAGGATACAAAATCAGTGAGCAAAAATCACAAGCATTCCTATACACCAATAATAGACAAACACAGAGACAAATCATGAGTGAACTCCCATTCACAATTGCTACAAATAAAATAAAATACCTAGGAATACAATTTACAAGAGGCTCCTTGAAGGAACCACTGCTCAAGGAAATAAGAGAAGACACAAACAAATAGAAAAAATATTCCATGCTCATAGACCGGAAAAATCAATATCGTGAAAATGGCCATATTGCCCAAAGTAATTTATAGATTCAATGCTGTTTCCATCAAGCTACCTTGACTTTCTTCACATAAGTAGAAAAAAACTACTTTAAAATTTCATGTGGAACCAAAAAAGAGCTTGTATAGCCAAGACAATCCAAAGCAAAAAGAACAAAGCTGGAGGCATCATGCTACCTCACTTCAAACTACACTACAAGCATACAGTAACCAAAACAGCATGGTAATGGTACCAAAACACATATATAGACCAACGGAACAGAACAGCGGCCTCAGAAATAACACCACACATCTACAACCATCTGATCTTTGACAAACCTGACAAAAACAAGCAATGGGCAAATGATTCCCTATTTAATAAATGGTATTGGGAAAACTGGCTAGTGATATTCAGAAAACTGAAACTGGACCCCTTCCTTACACCTTATACAAAAATTAACTCATAATGGATTAATGACTTAAATATAAAACCTAAAACCATAAAAACCCTAGAAGATATCCTAGGCACTACCATTCAAGACATAGGCATGGGCAAAGACTTCATGACTAAAACACCAAAAGCAATTACAACAAAGGCCAAAATTGACAAATGGGATCTAACTAAACTAAAGAGCTTCTGCACAGCAAAAGAAACTGTCATCACAGTGAACATGCAACCTACAGAATGGGAGAAAATGTTTGCAATCTCTCCATCTGACAAAGGTCTAATATCCAGAATCTATGAGGAACTTAAACAAATTTACAAGAAAGAAACAATCCCATCGAAAGTGGGCAAAGGATATGAACAGACACTTCTTTAAAAGAAGACATTTATGCGACCAACAAACATTTGAAAAAAAGCTCATCATCACTGGTCATTAGAGCAATGCAAATCAAAACCACAATGACATACCATCTCATGCCAGTTAGAATGGCAATCATTAAAAAGTCAGGAAACAACAGCTGCTGGAGAGGATGTGGAGAAATAGGAACACTTTTTTACACTGTTGGTGGGAGTGTAAATTAGTTCAACCATTGTGGAAGACAGTGTGGCAATTCCTCCAGGATCTAGAACCAGAAATAGCATTTCACCCAGCAATCCAATTACTGGGTATATACCCAAAGGATTATAAATCATTCCACTATAAAGAACATGCACACATATGTTTATTGCAGCACTATTCACAATAGCAAATACTTGGAGCCAACCCAAATGCCCATCGATGATAGACTGGATAAAGAAAATGTGGCACATATACACCATGGAATACTATGATGCCATAAAAAAGTATGAGTTCATATCCTTTGCAGGGACATGGATGAAGCTTGAAACCACAATTCTCAGCAAACTAACACAGGAACAGGAAACCAAACACTGCATGTTCTCACTCATAAGTGGGAGTTGAACAATGAGAACACATGGACACAGGAAGGGGAACATCACACACCAGGGCCTGTCAGGGAGTTGGGGGCAAGGGGAGGGAGAGCATTAGGGCAAATACCTAATGCATGCGGGTCTTAAAACCTAGCTGACGGGTTGATGGGTGCAGCAAACCACCATGGCACATGTATACCTATGTAACAAACCTGCATGTTCTGCACATGTATCCCAGAACTTAAAATATTAAAAAAAAAAGTAATGGCAAAAACTACAATTACTTTTGCACCAATCTAATAAAACACCTTGTTCAAGCTTAAGAGATGCATATGTATTAATCTGTAAGTAGGCTCTTTAAGTATATGTAAGCCTTTTGTAAAGGATATTTGTCTCTTAATTTTTAGCATATAATAAACTCTCAAGGACACTTGAGGCTGTTTTCTGATTTTTTTTCTTTCTTCTCACTGACTAAGAACAGTGCTCTCAACACAGTGGAGACTCGGTAACTTACCAACCATCTTGGTGCACTTCAGAGCACAGGTCTAAGGGGCAGCAGGGTGCTTTATAGATTAAAGTGACTCCAAAATACAAATAAAATTATTAAATTCTCTTCACTGTCCTCTCTAGTTCCTAAATGACATGTATATGCTTGGTGAGCATCATGTCAAATAAAACAAAACAAAACAAAAGCATGCACTTTGAAATCAGACCTAAGGACCTCAGTTCCAGGCTCTCCTCCTCAATTACCAGCTGTGTAACCACAGACAAGGTGCTTGACCTCTGTAGGCCTGTCTTCTACCTATATAATGGATTTTGTCAGAATTGAATGAGACATGCCTAGCAAAGTGTCTGCTCCATAACAGATGCTTGTGTTCATAATTGGTGCTGTTTACGAAGGATTTCCAGCTCTGTCCTCTTCCAGTCAAACTTCCCTGCCCTCTGAAATTTGGGTATAGAGCCATATGACTTGCTTTGGCCAGTGAAATGGAAATACGAGTCATCTGTTTCACTTTGAGAATCAGTATATGAGCTGCCATTTCCCTTTTCTAATGCTCTAGAGATAGTGGAATCACATGTTGAGATGAAGCTTCACTTATCTGTGTCTCTGCATAACTTCAGTGAGTGAAGACACACCAACCCCCACACAGATACCAACCTAACTTTGACCTGTAGCCAAAGCAAGACATGAGCTTTTCTTGTACAAGTCACTGAGATTTGGAGCTTATTTGTTACAGTGATATAATCCAGTGTATGCTGACCAATACAGTGCTTAATAAATATTAGCTCTTTTTCCCCATTAAGTCTCATTAGCTGCACATTTCCCTCTTGCATTTTTTTCTTAGAAATTGGTCTAATCCCAAAGTTTGTTCTGACATGAATGAGTTTGTTTCCTTGATGGGGCATTTGGGCAAGAAGCATATAATTTATATAGTTTTTTTAAATTAAACTTTTATTTAAAGGCAATTTAAGGGGATGGGGTTTATAATCTTTCCTTATGCTGCACTTTCTAGGTCCTCTAGAGCTACTGCTTTTTATCACTTTTTCCACTTCCATATATCAAAATACCTCCAGAGTTAAACAGCTTCACATTAGATTTCATGATCTAGCTAGATCACTTATCATAGAAATGGAAGGTTAAAGTTGTATTGTGAATATATGTATGTGTAGGGGTTAGTGGAGGATTGTTGTTACTTCCCATTATTAATGTAGATATAGAATGAACGGATCATCAATCTGAGAGGGTAGCAGCATTTCCCAATTATCTGTTGCTGCCTAACAAACTGCCCCAAAACGTAGTGGGTTAAAACAAAAACCATTTAATTTTATCTCATAATTTTTGTAGGCCAGGAATTTGAGAAGGATCAATTCTCAGATCACTAGATCATCTGCTAGATGATTCTTCTGTTCCATATGGCATAGATGAGGTCACTCAGCGGTGTTCATCTGGCAGCTAGAAAGATCTAAAGAGTCCAAGATGGTTACAGTCACATGTCTGACGCCGTGGGGACAACATCTAGAAGGCAGAGCTCAGCTGGGTCTGTTAACTGGAGTGCTGACACGGTAGTTTCAGGGTAGTTAGATTTCTTACAGGGTGGGTCAAAGGTTAAAGTTCCCAGAGAGAATGTTCTAACACATAATATGCAAGACTTCTTATGACCTAGACTTGTAAGTCCTAGAACATCACTTCTACTGAATTTCACCAGTCAAAGAAGACCAGTAAAAGGCATCCAGCTCTCACAGAAGGAACGGTAATTCCATGTCTCAATGAGAGTACCAGCAAACATTTGGAACTATCTTTTTTATACCATAGAACCACAATCTCTTCAACGCTTCTCTGATTCCCTAAGATATCATTAGGTCCAAAAACTCCAGTCACTACGTTAACATTTAACAAGCAAAAAGTAATTCCTTTACAAGTTTAAATGCCTTCCTTTTTGCCCCAGAGGGTTATCTGAACTCATTTACAAAACTTTACTGTGCTCAATATTTTTCTTGGCCCTTCAGTTGCACTCTCTACCTTTGCTATATTCCCTGGAAGTCTGGTCTCTAAGGGTACCTTGCCCTTAGGTTTCCATCTGGGGGCAGTCAATGGGGGACACTGGCAGGGAAGCAAAGACCAACAGGAGAGTGAGCAAGACCATTGCCCTTCAGCTTCCAAGTCACTGTAGTTGATCCCATTCCTGTAGCTGAGCTAAGGCCACAGCCCCAGGCAGGCATGCCCCTCTAGAATGACAGCTATTTTCTCTAGTCCCAACAATTTCCCTCTCCCCTTGTTCCTTCAGACTTACATATGATTTGCCTTTGTTTCTCTTGCATTTAGCTCAGTGTCTGGCACTTGGTAGGTGTTTAATGAATGTTTACAGAAAGAACTGTTGGATGAGTGGGTAAATGAGAGAATGGCAAAGGACATACATTTAAGAGAAGAAAATGTTCATGGCAACTGAGTGTCAGGATTAGGATTATAAAACTTCTTATCTTCTATCCTTTAGAGAGAGAGGGAAAAAAAAAGAAAAATCAACAAAAAGAAATACCTATCTTCTCAGAAGACAGTAAATGCTGTTCTTTCAGAGACGCTGAAGCCAATGAAAATACTAAGGGTTACACATCAACACTCCCTTGGCGCACAAAGGTCTCACTGGCAGCAACAAGTACATACTTCTGTATGACTGAAAGTCTATAGTTCTCTGCCCGATGAATTCCTCAAGTTCAGCTAGCCAACTTGGAGCCTCATCATAGCACTTACAAGCAGAGTTTCTTTGTATGAGGTAAAGTGCAGAGAGCTAGAACAAATGCCAATCCCCAGTGATCTTTTGTCCCCTTTCAAATAAACAGATGGCATTATTGGGAACATGGAATTCTGGTCTTTCCTGTTGGAATTTCAAAAGAAAAACATCGGGCCCCCAAGGAAGCTGCTGCTCTCATGGAACAAACGGTGCCCCTCACATCCGAGAAGAATCATTCAACAGTGTCAAGGGGCTAAAAAACCCATTCCTACAGCTCACAACAGGACCTAGTTGAAGACACAAAGGGAGAAGGCCATATGGTACAGAGCTCTAAATGGCTCTATTTTTAAGGTAGCTCTGAACTGGGCCAGAAGTGATCTAGGCTCTCATCCTGCATTTGTTCTTCCCTCCCTAGCTGACCTCAGGCAAGCTACTCATGTTTCTAGGATTCTACTTCCTCCTCCATAAATGGGAAGGCTGGACCAGATGTTCCCAGTGAACTTATCTCAGATCTGCCATTCTGAAATCACAAGTCTCAAAGCGTGGCAACAAAGCACTAATACAATCGGTTTTACTCCTAATCTTTCTCTGAAGTCCCAGCTTTCTCATATATTTTTTTAAAAGAATTGGAGCATACAAAGGTCTACAACTAGCTTAAGTCTCACCTTTTATTTCATCAATGTACATACACCCCTTAACTCACCTTTTTGGCCCTAAAAATCCCAACTGGTTGTAACAGCAGAGTGGGATTTAGCATAAACTCACAGTGTGTGTGGTGACCTGGAAAAAAGTCATTTTGTACAACGGATCTGTGGTATCATAGCCATCTTAAAAGATAATGAAACCTGAGTTTAAAGGAAGAAAAGAAAGGCTGGAGATTTTCAGCTGTGTTCAAAAAGATTTTTAGGTGATCTTGAAAGAATTCCTGTCATTTCAAAGTTCTACCAAGCCTCTGTTCTATGGACTGTTTCTTCTCCCCAGAGTCCATCTATGTAGGGTGCAAAAAAAATGTCAATTTTTTCCCAAGAAGAATCAATGTAGTAATAATAATAATAGAAATATGTGATGATGATGATATCTGATATTTCTATAGCCTCTGATATGGATCAGGCATGATTCTAAGTGCCTTACATATATTGATTAACTTATTCTTCAGCACAGCTTTTAATGATAGATACTATTATCATCTCCATTGGCAAACAAGGAAGCTGAGAATCAAAAAGTTTAAGTAATTTTTTCAAGGTCTCCCAGCAGAGCTGGTGGCAGAGCTGGTATTCAAACCCAGGCAATTTGATACCAGTATTAATGTTTTCAACTCAGTATACTGAATGACTTCTCCCACATCAAAATGTATCCATTCCAAAGAAATCTGGAAAGAATGTTTTGAACAGTTATAGCAGTGGAAGAATGGGCATGAATTTTTATCTCTAAGGTCAATTTAATTTGTTTATCTACTTAACTATTACCCAGGAAGAATAGGAATAACGTCAAAAGCATTTATCTTGTCAAAAACATAATTGGTTTGCCAAGCGTAACGTTATTTTTTACCCTAAGAATAGAGCAGATTGTCAAGCCACAAAGTCTGCATTCCTGGGCTCCTTACCCTATTTGAAAAATGTTATCCCAAACTGCAGTCCCAGACCAGTTTCTTTGAATCACCATGGCAACGAGAGTCAATAGAGATACCTCCATGTAAATTTACAAGGGAAGGGCTGTCATTAAAATCCTGTTTGTGGTAGAAAGGAGGTATTTGGACAGAATCTGTCCTACCAGAGACTTTTCATTCTAAAAAGGGAAACACTCTTGCTTTTGTCAGAACTTTCTGTTCTCAGGTCTTAATACATTAGTTTCTTTTTTCTCTCCCTGGAAGAGGTTAATGAAAGTCCTTAATTTCTATTTTCCTTCACAATGGTAATTGTAAAATGTCTTGTGCACATATATGTGTACATATGTGTTATGTGCATATGCCTGCATCTATACACACATGTGCATGTATGTATATACGCATCTACAGTGAATGCACATGTATATACATACAATGTGCACATACACACACCTAATACATGCATGCACATATGTACTGACTTCCCAACTCTCCTTGTCATAGCACACTCAGCTTAAATGACTCTAACAGATGACCTGCTTGTCTGGAAGTAAATTCAGCTGAGAAAAGATACCAAGCAGCATCTACCTTCTCTGCCTGTAATGAGAAAAGGGCCAACTCAAATGTGATCTGATTCATTAAGGTTACCATTCACAGAAAAGTCTCTGCTTGCTCCTCCCTGCCTCCCATACTCTGTGAACAGGGCCAAGCCTATCTGCCCATTGTTTCTCTTGCCACCTCAGACTGTTCAAAAGGGATTAAAGAAAAAGAGATGGGCTGGGCCCAGTGGCTCACGTATGTAATCCTAGCACTTTGGGAGGCTAAGGCAGGTGGATTGCTTGAGCTCAGGAGTTCGAGACCAGCCTGGGCAACATGGCAAAACCCTGTCTCTACAAACAGTACAAAAATTAGCCCGGCGTGGTGGTGCACACCTGTAGTCCCAGCTGCTCGGGAGGCTGAGGGGGGAGGATGGCTTGAGCCTGGGAGGTGGAGGTTCCCATGAGCGGAGATTGCACCCCTGCACTCCAGGCTGGGTGACAGAGCCAGACCCTGTCTCAAAAATCAAATAAATAAATAAGTAAAGAGAAATAAAGACAGAGAACCATCAAATTTTTTTCAAAATTCGTATTATTCATTTTTAACAATGGCTTTAAAACCGTCATCAAATTGAGATTGCAGCCTCAGGGGAGTTGGCAAAACCTATCCTGCAAGAGAGAACCGCCTGTCAAATTTTAACTAGGTTCTGGGGCTTTTAAATGTCCCTTTCAACACTAAGCCTGCAAGTTAAGAGAACCCAGTCAAAGTCATGAGGAGAAACAGGAAGCGATAAGAAAGTCAGCCTCCAGGCAATATAGGACAGAAGCACAGGTTTTCATGGTGTGATAGAAAAACCCCGGTTGGCAACTTGAGTGAGTTACCTGGGCATGAGAATGACTTCTCCTAGCTGCCTAGTCCTTCTACTTTGGGAATGGGGAGGATTGGATTCATTTACCCGAGGCTTCTCCCATTGCTATCAGCCTAGGCTTCTATGAAAACATTCTAAAACTATGACAAGCCCTGAGTGCAGCTGGCTCTAACTTCTTCAGCATAGTTCACCTCATATCCAGGGAAATCTACCCACACTGCTTCTGCAGGCCCTGAATGCCTACACTGCAGAAATAAACACCGTGACATTTACACCTATGGAGGGAAATGAAAGGTGACCCTGAAAAGAATCAGGTAATTTTGTACCAGTTGCTATCCTAAGGGACTTTGTAAGGTAGGGAAATCAGAGTATAGGCTGAAGTTCTTAGCACTTCTGTTTGTGTATTCGAATCATAAACATATATATGCATGCATAGATATGTATGCCTAGTGTACGCAGAACTTATCCAACAAATATATCAGGTTATGAGGAAATGACATGCAAATAAGGATGACCATCACATCATGGCTTGTAACAGTGAAATAAACAAACATAATAAACAATAAATTAAATAATTTAAATGTCCTCTGATACGGTGCGGTAAAATAGATAACATATCCATACTATGCAGTTGTGACAAAGATTAAAGTAGACTTATGGATGCTGATATTTAAAAAAAAACTATAGGACTTTTTTTAAAACTTAATAATCTGTCAATATTGTTGGTTTTTTTTTTTTTTTTAAAGAATGCACTCTCATTCTTTTCTCCCTCCCTCAACCTCCTGTAAAACATTCTACCTTAAAGTGTTTCTAGAAGGGTCACAGTGGTATTAATGATTGTATATGGGAAAGAAGGCTAGGGTCAGAAGCCTGGGCTAGGAGTGAGACTTACTTTTGTAGGGTTTAATTTTTTTTTTAATACTTAGACCATGGCTTATTTTTCCAATTAAAAAATAAGTTTGCTTCATATAAAAACAAACAAACAAATGAAAACACAACAGCAACAAAAACTTTGATAAAGTTCACCAAAGCTCTTTTCCCTTTATAAGACCACTATGTGGCAATTTGGGTCTGAGATGCTCTAAAAGAAAAAGACTTTGGTTTTTATTATTTTAAAGAGAGTGAAGATTTTAAAAAGTAGAAGAGGAGGAGAATAGAAGGAAAGAGAAAACAAGCCTTCTCCTGGGGTGTATGTCAGAATATTACATCTAGCATCAACACACAAGAGGAAAAGCAATTAAGGGAAGCTCAGGGGGAGAAATCATAAAAAAAGATCAAGGAAATTACTTCTGAGTTAAAGCCAAAGGAAATGACCTGATTGTATAACGACTGGAAAGTATTTGGCAGTTGGCTTTTACATATCTGAAAGGGATAAACAGTTAACACTAAAAACACCAAACACTAAAAAAAATTAATAAGTGATAAAGGAACAACATTATCATTCTTTTTTTTTTTTCTTTTTTTGAGACAGAGTCTCACCGTGTCACCCAGGCTGGAGTGGAGTGGCACAATCTTGGCTCATTGCAATCTCTGCCTCCAGGGTTCAAGCGATTCTCCTGCCTCAGCCTCCTGAGTAGCTGGGATTACAGGCACACACCACCATGTCCGGCTAATTTTTGTATTTTTAGTAGAGATGGGATTTCATCATGTTGGTCAGGCTGGTCTCGAACTCCTGACCTCGTGATCTGCCCGCCTCAGCCTCCCAAAGTGCTGGGATTACAGGCATGAGCCACTGAGCCCAGCCACATTATCATTCTTAATAAACCCACTTTAAGTAAAACTTCCTCATTCTTTTTCCTAAGAGTCTTTGTAAAGATGAAAATCAAATATTAACTAATTCTTCTGAGCAACAATATTCAAGCATCTTGGAGCTAAAGGGTAAAGGAGACACAGTGAGAGGGCTCCAAAGTTGCACTTAAATTGTTTCAAAGTGGACCAAGTTACCACATAGTTGATGATTAGTCCAAGCAAGACACCATTTTGTTGTCACAGTAATAAACAAGATACAGTAATAATTAGCTATGACAGCACCTTCTCCTTTCAGGGTTGTGAAAAGTAGCACAGGATAAGAGACACTCATACCTCAATTAGAGCCTACAACTGAAGTTGCATCCTATGCTTAAAATTCAGTGAATTTACATTTGACAATCACCCAAAAAAGAAACTATCTAGCCACCTCCCATACCATGCAAACACACACACACGCACATACATATACACCCAAACACAAACACATACAATAGAAACCACTGCTATGGTATTCAGTTTCAAGCATCTCCTCTATGCGGTTCTTTTTTTAAAAATTTTCCTACATCATTAAAGATTTTTATTAAAAATATTTTTTCATAAGTTACAGGGGTACAGGTGATATTTGGCTACATGAGTAAGTTCTTTAGTGATTTGTGAGATTTTGGTGCACCCATCACCCAAGCAGTATACACTGCACCATATTTGTAGTCTTTTATCCCTCATCCCCCTCCCACTCTTCCTCCTAGGTCCCCAAAGTCCACTGTGTCATTCTTATGCCTTTGCATCCTCATAGCTTTGCTCCCACATATCAGTGAGAACATACGATGTTTGGTTTTCCATTCCTGAGTTATTTCACTTAGAATAATAGCCTTTAATCTCATCCAGGTCACTGCAAATGCTATTAATTCATTCCTTTTTTATGGCTGCATAGTATTCCATCATAGATATATATAAATATATATAAATATATATAAATATATATAAATATATATATAAATATATATAAAATATATATAAATATATATATTTATATAAATATATATAAAATATATAAATATATATAAATATGTAAATATATATAATATATTTATAATTATTATATATAATATATATAATAAATTTACATATTTATATATATTTATATAAATATATATATTTATATATATTTTATATATATTTATATATATTTATATATTTATATATATTTATATATATTTATATATTTATATATATTTATATATTTATATAGATTTATATATATTTATATATATATTTATATATTTATATATTTATATATATATTTATATATATGTATATATATATTTATATATTTATATATATTTATATATATATTTATATATATTTATATATTTATATATATTTATATATATTTATATATTTATATATATTTATTTATATAAATATAAATATATATAAATATATATATATATATATGCCACAGTTTCTTTATCCACTCTCCTCTTTTCTTGGTTAATCTTGCCAATGGTCTATCAATTTTATATCTCTTGTTAAAGAACCAGCTTTTTGTTTCATTTACCTTTTGTATTTTTTTGTTTCAATTTCATTTAGTTCTGCTCTGATCTTGGTTATTTTCTTTCTTCTGCTGGGTTTGGGTTTGGTTTGTTCCTGTTTTTCTAGCCCCTTGAGGTATGACCTTACAGTGTCGGTCTGTGCTCTTTAATTCTTTTTGATGTAGGCCTTTAGGGCTATGAACTTTCCTCTTAGCACTGCCTTTGCTGTATCCCAGAGGTTTTGACAGATTGTCATTATTGTTGTTCAGTTTGAAGAATTTTTTAGTTTTCATCTTAATTTTGTTTTTGATCCAATGCTCATTCAGGAGCAGGTTATTTAATTTCCAAGTATTTGCATGGTTTTGAAAGTTCCTTTTGGAGTTGATTTCCAGTTTTATTCCACTGTGGTCTGAGAGAGTGCTTGATATAATTTCAATTTTTTTAATTTATTGAGGTTTATTTTATGGCCTTTCATATGGTCTGTCTTAGAGAAAGTTCTACTCACTGTTGAATGGAATGTGTATTCTGCAGTCGTTGGATGAAATGTTCTGTATATGTCTATCTATAAGTCCATTTGTTCCATATAGTTTAAATCGTTTCTTTGTTGACTTTGTCTTGATGACATGTCTAATGCTGTCAGTGGAGTCTTAAAGTTTCCCACTACTATTGTGTTGCTGTCTATCTCATTTCCTAGGTCTATTAGTAATTGTTTTCTAAATGTGGGTGCTCCAGTGTTAGGTGCATATCTGTTTAGGATTGTGATATTTTCCTGTTGGACAAGGCTTTTACCATTATGTAATGTCCCTCTTCATCTCTTTTAAGTGCTGTTGCTTTCAAGTTTGTTTTGTCTGATAAAATAGCTACTCCTGCTCGCTTTTGGTGTCCATTTGCATGAAATGCCTTTTTCCACCCCTTTACTTTAAACTTATGTGAGGCCTTATATGTTAGGTGAGTCTCCTGAAGGCAGCAGATGGTTGGTTCGTGACTTTTTATCCATTCTGCAGCTCTGCATCTTTTAAGTGGAGCATTTAGGCCATTTACATCTAATGTTAGTATTGAAATGTGAGGTACCATTGCATTCATCATGCTGTTTGTTGCCCATGTATCTTGAGTTTTTTTTTTCCTTTTTAACTTGTATTTTTGTTTTATAGGTCCTGTGTGATTTATGCTTTAAAGAGACTCTGTTGTGATGTGTTTCCAGGATTTGTTTTAAGATTTAGAGCTCTTTTAGCAGTTCTTGTAGGGGTGGCTTGGTAATGGTGAATTCTCTCAGCATTTGTCTGTCTGAAAAAGACTATATTTTTCCTTCATATATGATGCTTAGTTTTGCTGGATACAAAATTCTTGGCTGATAATTGTTTTGTTTGAGGAGGCAGAAGATAGGGCCTCAATCCCTTCTGGCTTGTATGGTTTCTGCTGAGAAATTTGCTGTTAATCTGAAAGGTTTTCCTTTACATGTTACCTGGTCCTTCTCTCTCACAGCTCTTAAAATTCTTTCCTTCATCTTAACTTTGGATAACCTGATGAAAATGTGCCTAGGTGAATATCTTTTTGGATGAATTTCCCAGGTGTTCTTTTTGCTTCTTTTATTTGGATGTCTAGATCTCTAGCAAGGCCAGGGAAGCTTTCTTCTATTAGTCCCCCAAATATGTTTTCCAAGCTTTTAGATTTCTCTTCTTCCTCAGGAACACCAATTATTCTTAGGTTTGATTGTTTAACATAATCCCAGACTTCCTGGAGGTTTTGTTCATATTTTCTTATTCTTTTTTCTTTGTCTTTGTTGGATTGGGTTAATTTGAAGACCTTGTCTTTGAGCTCTAAATTTTTTTCTTCTACTTGTTCAATTCTATTGCTGAGACTTTCCAGAGCATTTCACATTTCTAAAAGTGTGCTCAAAGTTCCTGAATTTTGTATTGTTTTTTCTTTAACCTATCTATTTCATTGAATATTTCTCCCTTCACTTCTTGTATCATTTTTTGGATCTCCTTGCACTGGGCTTCACCTGTCTCTGGTCCCTCCCTGATTAGCTTAATAACTAACCTCCTGAATTCTTTTTCAGGTTAATCAGGGATTTCTTCTTGGTTTGGTTCCATTGCTGGTGAACTAGTGTGATTTTTGGGGGTGTTCATGAGTCTTGTTTTGTCATATTACCACGGTTTTCTGGTTCCTTCTCATTTGGGTAGGCTCTGTCAGAGGGAAGGTCTAGGGATGAAGGCTGTTCTTCAGATTCTTTTGTCCCACATGATGTTCCCTTGTTGTAGTACTCTCCCCCTTTTCCTATGGATGCGGCTTCCTGTGAGCCAAACTGCAGTGATTGTTGTCTCTCTTCTGGGTCTAGCCACCCAGCAAGTCTACCCAGTTTTGAGCTGGTACTGGGGGTTGTCTGCACAGAGTTTTGTGATGTGAACCGTCTATGGGTCTCTCAGTGGTGGATACCAGAGCCTGTTCCAGTGGAGGTGGTGGGGGATGCAATGGACTCTGTGAGGGTTCTTAGCTTTGGTGGTTCAATGCTTTATTTTTGTGCTGGTTGGCCTCCTGTCAGGAGGTGGCGCTTTCCAGAGAGCATCAGCTGTGGTAGAATGGGGAGGAACCGGTGGTGGGTGGGGCCCTAGAACTCCCAAGATTATATGCCCTTTGTCTTCTGCTACCAGGGTGGGTAGGGAAGGACCATCAGGTGGGGGTGGGGCTAGGCATGTTTGAGCTCAGACTCTCCTTGGGCAGGTCTTCCTGCAGCTGCTGTGGGGAATGGGGGTGAGATTCCCAAGTCACTGGAGTTGTGTATGTAGGCGGATTATGGCCGCCTCTTCTGAGTCACGCAGGTTGTCAGGGAAGTGGGGGAAAGCTGGCAGTCACAGGCTTCACCCAGCTCCCACACAAACTGAAGAGCCAGTCTCACTCCAAAGGGCTTGGTTCTTCCCCTGCCTGTGGAGCCTGCACACCAGATTTGTGCCCTCCCCCGAGTTCTGGCCAGAAGGCTTCTCATCCAGTTCAAATTGTTACAAAGTTGAGCTATAGATATGCTTCTCCCCGTGTAGTTTTACCCAGTGCTCATCTCGCGTTGGATCACTGTGGTGCCAGGCAGGAGTGGCCTGCTAGGAGACCCAGCAAGCTCCCAGGGCCTTTCTGCTGCTTCCTCTACCCCTGTATTTCACTCAGCTCTCCAAATTGACTCAGCTCCAAGTAAAGTCGGAAACTTCTCCCACAAACAGACCTTCAGCTTCTCCAGTAGGAGTGTGTGTTTGGGAGAGGAGGGTCTCCCTTTCCCACTTGGATCACTCACAGTTTTGGGGATGTCTCCCAGGTCCTGCAGGAGCAGACCCCTTTCTTCAGAGGGTCTGTGGGTCCTCTGGGGATCGCTGGTTTGTTCTTGCAGTCAATTTGGAGCTAAAACTCACAATATGAGCCCCCGCACACTGCTCTGTCCAGAGCTGCAATCTAGTCCTGCCTCCCTTCTGCCATTATGATCGAACCTCTTCTTTTTATGTTTCTTTAAAGGTCCACTGTATGATCACTGAAAGCTCTGGAACCTTGCTAAATCTACATTGCTTGACTTCATTTATCAAGATAAATTGTCTTACTACTAAAACTTTATGCATTCAGATCTCTTAACAGATGAGCCATTTTAAACTGGTTAAAAAATTTATGTATATAATTCAGTAAAAACAGTTGCAAAGATATAAATACATTTGTCATGAAATAAGTTAATGAAGATATCAGAATTCTTAAGAGCCCAATTAAACTGCAGTTATTCATTGCACACCTTTTGTGCACTGGATGCAAATGTACTCAGGTCCTTTATTGCAAAAATGAAGTGCTAGACTGAGAAACTGAAGCCATATAAAAGCAGTAATTGGTTTCTCAAATGCAGTTATTATGTGCTGAGTTATTATAAACAATTTCTCATCCCCTTTACCAGGATTAGTGTTTACGGTTAATGGAAGGTCATAACTTTTACTTTATTATTTGTGTGCTTTATTGCCAGAGTCATTGGTGGTATATTATTGTGATTTACTTGCATGAATTTTTTTGTTTACACATAAGAAAGTACATATTGATTTTTTTAGAAAGATCAAGATTTATTTTATTATGTGTGTGAAATATATTTCACTTTAATTGGAAACTTTAAATTGGCTTATAATAAATTACATATATATGAAATACTTTAAATTGGCTTATAATAAGGAAACTTTAAATTGGCTTACAATAAATTACATATATATGAAATACTATCTAAAAATATTCTGCCTACATTATCATCATGGATGCTCTAAAGTTTATGCTTCTATTAAAGTGATAGATAACATTGACATGAGCAAACAAAATCTTTAAAGAAAAAAAGATGAGACAATTATCTTTTAGTACATTTAATTACTTCATCATTTTTATTTTCCAAATTATGTTACCAAAATTTTTGTCTAAAAATTGAAACTAGAAAATACTATAAGAACACTAATACTGAATGATATTTTTATAAGTTTTAGGCTTTCTGATTAATAACCATTACCTTGTAAATATCTAAGTTCTCAGGTACTTAAGTTTAGGGTCTTAGTAGTTAACTTAGATTAATTCCATATTTGTCAAAGTTTATTGAAAATTGATGCAATTATTTTTCTCTAACAGTAGGATTCACCCTTAAAATGTATATAGTTTTACACTACAATTTTAAATACAGAATCTGGTAAGACTAATTTACACTTATATCACACTGAGACTGTGTAATTGCTAGAATGCCACATGCATCTTTAAAATACATACATATTATAAATTCCTTGCTACGACGTGGAGCTGCACAAAAAGACTTACTGGATATCCTAATTAATACAAAAAGATCTCTTTAAAGTGCATAACTTTAAAGGCACTGATTTCATGAAATTCCAAAGTCTTCCAGTTAAGCATTTACCTAGTTATAATTAGTTCCAAAATTCAAAACCAATACTTTGTATAAGGGTATAATTTATAAAGTGGTAGGCACACTGTGGGCAAAGACATATTTCACTCCTAAAATTTTGGCATGATCATCCCTTGGATTTGAGAACAAGCAAAGATAAAATTATATAAATATTTTCTATAGATGATTTTCCTTAATGTCTGTGGAGCCAAAGAAATACTCCAAGATGTCAGAGACTGATATCAAGAGTTTTCCAGGAGGAAACTGAAACAGGCAGTTGCAGCCACTATATCCATCGAAGACAACAGCTGCACAGAATCCTTGGAATCAATTGATTTACATCTATGTGTCTAATGTGCCCCAAGAGAGTCACTGTGTCTTCAAATCACAAATTACTTCAGTGCTGTGGATATGGGAGAAGCACAAGGTAATCATCAAGCCTTACAGTGAATTCAGTACTCCTGCCAAAAGCAACCAGAAGCATTTTGCCCTTCTGACTGGTAGAAAACTTGACTGCTCCTATGTAGAGCTCAGCATCTGAGACAACTCCTCTTCAAAGCATTGTTCCATGTGCTCTCACTATAACACATTAGCTAGGCAGGTAATGTTTTCCTTTCAGTTGAGACTTGTAGATTTTTACTCCTTTAAGAGGCCACACAAATGGTAAGTGACTGAGTAAAGACTCCACAAAGATCTCCTAACTCTTCATCCTGTGGTCTTTACACTGAACTGCACTGCCTCTAGATAAACTTATCTTTTATCATATTAGAATTTAATGGTTACAACAGTACCGTTTCCCATTATTAAAAGTAAAACTGCATAAGGGTTTCTTGTGATTTTAATTCACCAAAAAGAGCAGTGCTTGTGCATACAGAAAGAAATACACCATGAGATATTTGTAAATATTAGAGCTGGGACAAACCTTAGGAGATGAACTAATGCTGCTTTAACTCTTCTCCCCCACCTCTATCAAAGTAGTTGATGTGTAAACAAGCTTCTGGCATGAAAACCCTCCCATATATAGCTACTGCTATCAAGTGTTTATTGAGCTACTATAGATATCAGTGCCTGCCTATGTCCCTTTTTCCCTGAACGATTTTTGCATATGCTGGCCCATCTTCCAACTGTATCACCTACATCACTTTCCTTAAGGGCTTGTTCTGGTCACTGGATCCTTCTCTGCTCATATACATGGAAGGTTGTAGTGCCAGAGAATTAAGAATTGATGACTGATAGGAGTTGGTAGATTAATACCTCAGTTTCTTCTGTCTTCTAGGGAGATACCTCTGAGGTCTATCTTCCACATTGGTTCTCAGAGTTCCCCAGTAAGATTAAGCTCCAATTACTCACAATGCAAATGTGTGTGGTAATCCACTCCTTGTTGGCTTTCTTCTCTTTCTTGTCTGACTTCTCCATCTACTACCAGTATTTCCTGGGGTGACCTCTGTCTTATATTGGGCTGCTATGACAAATTACCATAGACTGCATGACTTATAAACAACAGAAATTTACTTCTCAAAGTTCTGGATACTGAGAGTCTGCGATCAGGATGCCAGCATTGTGAGGGCTCCCTTCCAAGTTGCAGAGTGTCAACTTCTCATTGTGTCCTCACATGACAGAAAGAGTTAGAGAGCCCTCTAAGTTGTCTTTTGTAAGGGCACTAATCCCATTCATGAAGACTCTACCCTCATCACCTAAATTACCTCCCAAAGTTCCTACCTTCTAATACCATCACATTGGGGATTAAGATTTCAACATATCAGTTTTTTGAAAGGGACACATCAGTCTATAACAACCTCTCAAACTACTTGCACCCAAATCCTTGTCTTGGAGTCTGCTCCTGGGGACCCAACCAAAGATATTAAGTGTTTTACTATGCATCATGTTAGAAGCTTAGTGCATTTCTGTTTTATGTTAATTAATCCTCAGGATAATCCTGCAAGCTATTTTTAATACCCATTTTAAAGATGAGAAACATGGAACTTACAGACATTATAATTTGCCTATGATTGCCCAAATAGGAGTAGAAGAGCCAAGATTCAAAAACAGGTTTATCTGACTCCAGATCTTATTTTAAACACTGAGAATCATAAGTTCTTTTTCAGTGCTGCCCCACAGGTTTATATACAAAATAAAAAATATATTGGATCACTTCGTAATCAGTGGAATTCAATGACCAATTGAAACCAATTAAGTCATATGCCCATCAACTCCAAGGGAATACTATATTCAATGAAAAACCTTAAGTGAGATGCTGTAATAAAAGCTATCACTGATTTCTGCTACCTAGTCCATGTACTGAGCACAACACTGATGATGGGATAATTGTCTGGTCTTGTTTAGGCCATCATCCTGTTATGTTTGCCCATGGACTTAGCATAATGGGATGATGGCCTAAACAAGATCAGACAATAGTGACTATTGGAAATAATTCTAAGGGTTTTCAACCAAGATGGATGGAAGAAATACGATAATTATATCCATCTTTTTATATTTCCCAAAGGAGTAGATGCATTGAAAACATTATTTAAACATATTAGTAACTGCTAAATGGTAAATTTGAGGTTAGGAAAAGTCATCGCTTGAGAAGACTACTGAAAGATCATTTTACAACTGCTTTAACCAGATTAAGCCCTTCTCCTTAGCAGTATTTACCTATAGGGGGTGTGTAATGGCAAACCAGCTCTCTAGGAGGAAGTCAGGGAGGAAACAGAACCTGATTGGTAGTGTTTGCCAATTTCTGTTGTGTAAATATTCCCACCATGGCCAAGTTCAAGCTACCAACATGATGTCATTGAATAATTTGAATGACATTGTATATAGTTGGAAGCACACAATCTGCCCTCACAAGCCAGTATGGGTCAGCTCTAGCACACCACTGTTCCCACAGGATGATGAGAGCAACAACCTAATGGCTTAAGTGCATCTCCTTTAGGTTCTAGGGAAGATAAGAGATGAGAAAAGCAGCAAACAAACAAAAAAGCAGGCAAATCTGCTCTAGGCAAGATCTGCTTTATTCTGAGAGGTAACGACTGTTCTCTCCTAGCATGGATCAGAGACAGGAGGAATTGTGCAACATAGAACTTAAGGAGGCTGGGCCCGGTGGCTCACGCCTGTAATCCCAGCACTTTGGGAGGCCAGGCAGGCGGATCACGAGGTTAGAAGTTCGAGACCATCCTAGCTAACATGGTGAAACCCAGTCTCTACTAAAAATATAAAAAATTAGAAGCCGGGAGGCGGAGGTTGCAGTGAGCCAAGATTGCGCCACTGCACTCCAGCCTGGGCGACAGAGCGAGACTCGGTCTCAAAAAAAAAAAACAAAAAAAAACAAAAACAAACAAACAAAAAAAAAAAAACAAAGAACTTAAGGATAGACAGAACAGTGTTTTTAAATTTCAGCTGCATATTACAATCCCCTAAGAATTTTCAAAAAGTCCTGATGTCCAGTCCTCACTCAAGGCCAATTAAATCAGAATCTCTGGAAGTGGTACTTAGGCATCAGTTGATATCAATGTGCAGCCAGCAGTGAGAATGAATGCTCCATAAAAACACTTCTCAAATTTGAATGTGCACATATTCAAATGTGTGATTTGTGGGTGATTTGTGAAAATTCAGACTCTGAAAATATTAAGTAAAAAATAGTGGTATTTTGTAAGTTCAAGAACATGAAAAGCTAATAAGCTAATTAACGATAGTAGAAGTAAAACCAGTGGTTGCCTCTGGGAGAGTATTGACTGAAAAGAAGAAGGAAAACCTCTTTGGTGCTGGAAATGTTCTACATTTGATGTGGGAAAAGGTAACAAAATTGACACAATAAGTAGTACACTTTAGGTTAGTACACTTTACAAATTAAGTTGTACAGATTTTTTTTTTTTTTTTGAGACAGAGTTTGGCTCTTGTCACACAGGCTGCAGGGCAATGGCATGATCTCAGCTCACTGTAACCTCCGTCTCCCAGGTTCAAGCGATTCTCCTGCCTCAGCCTCCTGAGTAGCTGGGATTACAGGCATGCACCACCACACCCAGCTAATTTTTTGTATTTTTAGTAGAGACAGGGCTTCACCATGTTGGCCAGGCTGGTCTCGAACTCCTGACCTCACGTGATCCACCCCCCTTGGCCTCCCAAAGTGCTGGGATTAGAATAAATACCAGGCACCATGCCCAGCCAAGTTGTACACTTTTAGATTAGTATACTTTACACAACAAAATAGTGAAACTGGGGGAAAAATGCAGAACCCATGTAGGTTCTGATGGTCTAGATTTCTAACACGTTCCCAAGCAATTCTGATGCTCGATAGCATCTGATCTTACTTTGAGTCTCAAGGCTCTAGACTAGTGTCAGGGTGACTTACAAGTCGATTTGCTATAAATGTTTACCCAGTGCTTATAATGTGCCAAGCACAGGGCTGTTGAATATTAGGTCCATGAATAAGCATTTGGCTTCCTTTAGGAAGCCACAGTCTACTGAGGGCAAATAGTTAGTGTGATACATTTATTCATTAATTACAAATACCATAGTGAGTCTCTGCCATGTGCTATGAGTAGGTGACACAGACATGAACAAGTCAGGGAAAATGCTTGTTCCCCTTCCCCCAGGATTTATGGATATTAGACCATAAAACACACATATATTTACTCATCCCAAATGAGATACATGCTATAAGAACAGGGTGAAGTTGAGTTGTTGAAAGAAGGTCAATATGGTTGGAAAGTGAGAAGTGACAGTTAGCAGTAAACAATGAGGTCACTGATCCATATAGGGGCCGGAGAAAGCAGGGCTTGATGAGCCAGGTTAAGGATTCTGGTCTTTGTCTTAAGAGCAATGGGAAGCCTTTGAAAGGGCTTAAGCAGGAGAGTGGCATAATCAGATTTGCATTTTTAAAAAGATCACTCTAACTGCATTGTGGTGAGCCAGTTGGAGAGCGGCCAGAAAGAGGGTCAGTCTAGTAGACCAAAAGAGAGATGATATTAGCTTGGATGAGGGCAATAGCTATGGAGACAGAAATGGGCCTAGTTTACGGATATTCATGTAGGAATATAGACAAATCTTGATAGTTGATTGACTACAAAGGAGTCAAAGATGACTTTGAGTGTTCTCACTTGCACACCTGTAAAAATCAGGGTGTCATGCACAAAAATGGGGAGGAACACTGTCCTTATTGTTTCCGTATTCTCCAGGCTTACCAGAATAATCTCAATTTTATGTAAATTTATTTTTTAGTTAACATAGTTTTCCAAATATAAGATTTATAAATAAATCCACAAATTAAAAAATGTTTGACAATGATACCTCTTTTTCCATGGTCAGCATAGCTGAGGAAGAGCTAGATTCACATAAACCTGGATCACTGTAATGCCAGGCCCACTTATGTTTCACTGTGGACATAAAGACCCCAAAGCTCAAAAGTTAAATACAAATTATTCTTTTCTATGCATTTCCCCTCTTTCTTCCCTTTAGGACTCATAAACTAATAGTTGACTATGTTATATAGAGATACATGCTTAGGAAACTGCTTATAATTGTGTGCACTGCTGTTTTGCCATTGCTGATTTTACTTCTCAGAGTGATGCATTTTAAAGGTGTGTTCAAAGCCCACCTGTCTGAATGACTCTCAGGTGCCACACAAAGGGTGGCAGATGATGAACATGACCTCTAGGAGATAAGAAGCAGACCTGGATGCATTATTGCATTATTATCCTTCTAAAAGAAATAAAACCTTTTGGTGGCTATTGAGATCAGATTCAACGTGAAAATATAGGAGTTTAGAGTTTACTGGAGTCCCTGTAGGTCAACTAAGTGCCCCTAAAGGCTTTCAGGTAGCATAGATTGTTTCAAGCATAAAATACCGCTTTGGAATATCAAACATTAAGCTCTCATCAAACACTGTAGGTGAGTAAACAGAGGCTTTAACTACAAATACATGTATTAAAAATTTCTTCTTGAGCAGTAACAATGGCCAAAGAATTGCGCAAGTTTGGGAACCTGTAAACCAAGAGTCCTACCCTCATGGTGCTGTATTCTACCAGGAAAACAGATATGAGAAGAACCAAAGAAAATTCAAGATAGAATGAAATTAATGCTGAAAAGAGAGAGAAGCAACTTTTGTGAAAGCCAAAAGAATGACATATTTTCTCTCACTGGGAGACAAGAAAGCGCTTATTAAAACAATGTAATTTGAGGTGGTGATAGGTGAGGAATAAATCCAAATTTTACGGGTGGAGAAAGCATGTCCAGTCCAAGATAACACCATGTCAAAAATATCAAAAAGCAAAATTGCTTTCAGATTTTGGGAAACACGTAGTAGTACAGTGAGAATAACGTTCTGGTGAGACCAGGGTGAGCAAGCTTATAACCAAGCATGAAGGGCCCAGAATTCTGGACTAAAGAGGCTTAAATGTAACGCATGGGCTCTGGGAAGCCATTGAAGGAAAGGCAGGAAGCTCCATTTGGAAGGGGAATGTTGCTGGACTATGGGCATAATGAAAATAATGGATTATTGTGAATTTGTAGCCAAAGCCCACATTCTCTTCAGGTGAATTGCAATGCCCATTGTTTCACTGGTAACTTTGTAAAACAGAAGAGACATTTAAAATAATGTATCTTCATTTATCATTTTGTGTGTCATACAAGTCTCTGTAAACTTATATGACCACATCTCCAAGATAGAAAGATTTATCTATATTTAATTCTCTAAAAGAAAAGATACAATCAGTAAGTTTAGTTTTACGAAAGAATAATTTTCACTATCTAAATTATGATTGTGCAGGCTATAGGTTATTTTACTAAAAAATTATTGGTTCAAGGACTGAGTTGAGTTTTGAGTTCTAGCCAATTTTTTAGTGCCTAAGTCTAAACAACTATTGTTATGTAGAGGTGGAATAAATGTTTTATGTGTGTGTTATGTGTAGAATAAATGTTGTTTTTGGTTCTTTTTCTTTTTTTTAAACACCCCCTGCCCCCAGTAAACACAATAACAATTATATTGTATGAAGCATTTCAAGTACATATTCAATAAAATACGTAAGACAAATGTTATATGACTTGACAACATAATACGTATAGAATAAAATATGAAAAGACTTGGATTATTTTCATTTTCTTGATCTTTTACAATAAAATAAATACCTGATTTGGAACTGTATACTTCAAAAATTTATTGGAATAATCGTTGGTGTCCCTTTCTTTTTCTGTCCTAGTGTAACTTATTTGTCCAGGATATCCATTGTTGAAGGAAAAAGGGAGGATTCATATGGCTTGGCTGTGTCCCCACCCAAATCTCATCTTGAATTATAATTCCCATAATCCCCATGTGTCATGGGAGGGACCTGGTGGGAGGTAACTGAATCACGGGGGAAGTTACTCCCATGCTTTCTTGTGACAGTGAATTCTCACAAGATCTGATGGTTTTATAAGGGGCTTTCCCCCCTTTGTTCAGCACTTCTCCTTTCTGCTGCCACGTGAAGAAAAATATGTTTGCTTCCCCTTCCACCGTGATTGTAAGTTTCCTGAGGCCTCCTTCCCCATGCCGAACTGTGAGTCAATTAAACCTCTTTCCTTTATAAATTACCCAGTCTCTCGTATGTCTTTACTAGCAGTTTGAGAATGGACTAATACAGTAAATTGGTGCTGAAGGAGTAGGGCATGGCTATAACGATGGAAGCAACTTTGGAACTGGGTAACAGGCAGAGGTTGGAAGAGTTTGGAGGGCTCAGAAGAGGACATAAAAATGTGGGAAAGTTTGGAACTTCCTAGAGAATTGGAGAACTCAGAAGACAGGAAGATGTGGGAAAGTTTGAAACTTCCTGGAGACTTGTTGAATGGTTTCAACCAAAATGCTGATAATGATATGGACAATGAAATCCAGGCTAAGGTGGTCTAAAATGGAGATGAGGAACTGTTGGGAACTGGAGCATAGGTGACTCTTTCTATGCTTTAGCAAAGAGACTGGCAGCATTTGCCTTGCCCTAGAGATCTGTGGAACTTTGAACTTGAGAGAAATGATTAGGATATCTAGTGGAAGAAATTTCTAAGTGGCAGAGCATTCAAGAGAAAGCAGAACATTAAAGTTTGGAAGATTTGCAACCTGACAATGCGATAGAAAAGAAAAATCCATTTTCTGGGGAGAAATTCAAGCCCACTGGAGAAATTTGAGTAAGTAATCACCAAGAAAATGGGGAAAATGTCTCCAGGGCATGTCAGAGACCTTCATGGCAACCCCTCCCATCACAGGCCCAGAGGTCTAGGAGGGAAAAATTGTTTCCTAGGCTGGGCCTCCTGCTCTGTGCAGCCTTAGGATATGGTACCCTGCCATGTCCAAGCTGCTTCAGCTCCAGCTGTGGCTAAAAGGGGCCAAGGTACAGGTCAGGCTGTGGCTTCAGAGGGTGAAAGTGCCAAGACTTCACAGCTTCCATGTGGTGTTTGTCCTACAGATGCACAGAAGACAAGAATTGGAAACCTCTGCCTAGATTTCAAAGGAGGTATGGAAATGCCTGGATATCTAGGCAGAAGTTTCCTGCAGGGGTGGAGCCCTCATGGAGAACCTCTGCTACAACAGTAAGGAAGGGAAATGTGGGGTTGGAATCCCTACACTGAGTCCTCAGTGGGGCTCTGCCTAGTGGAGCTGTGAGAAGAGGGCCACCATCATCAGGACTCCAGAATTGTAGATCAACTGACAGCTTTTACCATGCAGCTGGAAAAGCCTCAGACACACAAGCTGTGAAAGCAGCTGGAAGGGAGCTGTACCCTGCAAAGCCACAGGGACAGAGCTTCCCAAGGCTGTGGGAGCCCACCTCTTCCATTAGTATGACCTGGGTGTGAGACATGGGGTCAAAGGGGATCATTTCGGAATTTTAAGGTTAATGACTGCCCTATTGGATTTTGGACTTGAATGGGGCCGGTAGCCCCTTTGTTTTGGCCAATTTCTCCCATTTGGAATGGTTCCAATGTTTGTATCCCCATTGTATCTAGGAAGTAACTAACTTGCTTTTAGTTTTACAGGCTCATAGGTGGAAGGGACTTCCCTTATCTCAGATGAGACTTTGGACTTGAACTTTTGGGTTAATGCTGGAATGAGCTAAGACATGGGGGACTGTTGGAAAGGCATGATTGTGTTTTGAAATGTGAGGACATAAGATTTGGGAGGGGCCAGAGGCAGAATGATATGGTTTGGCTGTGTCCCCACCCAAATCTCATCTTAAATTGTAGTTCCCATAATCCCCATGTGTTGTCAGAGGGACCTGGTGGGAGGTAATTTAATCATGGAGGCAGTTACTCCCATGCCATTCTAGTGATAGTGAGTGAGTTCTCACGAGATCTAAGGGCTTTATAAGAGGCTTTTCCTTCCTTGCTCAACACTTCTGCTACCTGCTGCTATGTGAAGGACACATTTGCTTCCCCTTCTGCCATGATTGTAAGTTTCCTGAGGCCTCCTTAGCCACGCTGAACTGTGAGTCAATTAAACCTCTTTCCTTTATAAATTACCCAGTCTTGGGTATGTCTTTATTAGCAGCATGAGAATGGACTAATACAAAGATAATGGAGGTTGAAGAGATAATGGAGGATAAGGCACATGATTTGCTTTTCAGCAAACTTGCTTTTCAGCAGACCTAGAGAATGAAGAATTGCATTACCTTGCAATAAGGAGTTAGGTCCATAAAAAATCGTTCTGTTCTCTATCACTTCACTCATGAAAGTATCACAAGTGGCACTAACGTTCAAAAGGAAGAATATTTTGATGAATTCCTTTGCTATGTGAAGTTAAGTAGATTGATAAATGCTGTCCAGGTTCAGGACCTTTAAAGAGGATACAGGAAACTTGAAATCTTAATTTCTTGACTAGCATTCTTTTGAAAAAGCAAAAGATGATCATGGAGAAATATTATTACTTAAAACTATTCAACTCTGGGTCACTCAAGCAGAAAACACCCTGATTTCGTGTGCAGGAGTGGCAAAAAAAAAAAAAAAAAGCATAGCTTTAGAAACTAAAGTTCTTACATTCACTTTCATGACTTTGTCTGTGAAAACATGGGTTCTGCATAAGACCAACATCCTAAAGTGCAGCAGAAGCAGAATCAAAGCCCTTGGTAGAAGATGAGCTCTAGAAAGTTTTCTAACCCACAGGAAAAATTCTCTTTTGCACCATTGTAACTATTAATAAAAAATACTCAAAGATGTGTTAATAGGTAATGCTCTCAATTTAAGATACTAACTTTACATTTCTCTAATTATTGCTTGGAATAATATCCCAAGCTTTAAAAATACCAGTAAGACAGTCCCATTCAATATCGGAGTAGAGATCTTTACTAGTGCAAAAATACAAGAAAAAGACATACAAATTAGGAAGAAACAAGAAACAATGCTGTCTCTGTCCTCAAATAAAATGATTATTTACATAGAAAATCCTAGAAGTCTACAAAAAGGCCATTAGAACTAAGTGAGCTTAGCAAAGTTGCATTGTAGAAAGACAATACACAAAAATCAATGACATTTCTATATATTAGCTATGGAATGGAAAATTTGCATTTTGCAAAAGTACTATTTATAATGGCACCAGAAATGTAAAATCTAAATCTAGGTAAAATCTAGATCAGCATGAAAGATGAAAGTCTGCATCTAGCAAGATATGTACAAGATTCATATGCTGTAAAAACTACTAATGAGAAAAATTAAAGACCTGAACAAATGAAGATGTATAACTCAACTTCATGGATTGGAAGATTTAATATTGTGTAGAATCAATGCAGTTCCAACCAAAAGTATCAGTAAGGTGAGTTTTTTAGTTATATTTTGTAAAATATAAACTTACGTAAGAGAAATAAAAGATAACCCCAAACTTCAAGTATAATGAAATTACACTTTGAAATGTCAGCTTCTTGCTTCTCAAAGTAAGGTTCATGGACCAGCAGGAGCAGCTGCACCATCTGGCAGCTGCTCAAGACCTGCTGAAGGAGAATCTGCATTTTAACAAATTCTCCAGGCAATTCAATTTATATGCATATTAAAGTCTGAGAAGTGCAATGTTAGTGTGATTTTTCACTTCCAGCCCTTCAAAGTTCAGGTAACATAAATTAATTAAATTCTTTTGAAGGTTTGTGTATTTCTTTGGGAGAACCCTATGTACTGGGCCCTGAAGCCATCTCTAAGGTCTGAATACATTAAAGCAAGTAATTACTTAAAATAGCACCTACTCCTCCCAAAGGACGTAAACTTTTAGAGTAGCATATACACTGGGGAGATGGATAAAACAGATTTTTAAAAACCTTTTCTATAATGAGACTGTCACTTGTACAGAAAAGCATTTAATCAATGTTAAAAGAGAAGTAACCAAAAGCATATGCTTCCAAATACTTTTTTCCTTTTAGAGACAGGGTCTTGAATCCTTGCTATGCCAAACAATTTTTTAATAAAAATGTATTGCTCTCTTTCCTGTTCAACTTTTAAGGTGCCTCTCTTCCTTGACTCCTACCTCTAGGAGGTAACATAAAGGGTCTTGTTGTTTGTTTGTTTGTTTCTGTAGAGAGGGGATCTTGCTATATTGCCCAGGCTGGTCCCAAACTCCTGGGCTCAAGCGATCCTCCAACCCCTGCCTCCCAAAATGCTGGCATGAGCCACCATGCCCAGCTGTAGAGTTTTAATTTTATCTGTTCTCAAATCAGAATTCACACACACAAACACACACACTCTCACACACTCACACACCTGTTCATTTAAGGAAGTTCCAACACATAGCTATTTCATGGGTTGAGCCAGGACTTAGATATTTCTATAATATTATCATTATCTCTTTAAGTTTGTGTATGTTTATTCTTTCTAACTCCAGTATCCAGGCCTTTTCTCATGTGTCTCTAAAAGATAACCCCCCTTCAAGGTTCTGTGGAGGCCTTTTGCTTCCCAGTATCCAAGTTTATAATGCTTCTTCACTTTTCTTCAGGAACTCCATTCACAAAACATTGCATCCGACCATGAGAGCAGATCCTGACACCTGTACTTACTCGGCCACTACCTGAGCAAGATGCCTCAGTGTGAGAAAAGACACCATGAAATGAGACCACTCTGAAAGCAAACCAGCCAGTACTTGGAAAGCCTGAAAGCCAGTAAAATGAAGAAAGCCAGAGGGAACCATTTAGCCTGGCGACTGCCTAGCAGTTGACATCATGGGAATCTTCCCAACCTCCTTCATGGACTACCTATTCCTGAGAAATCATCTACATAGTACATGATGACTACTTTCTGAGCACTTACTACTCAAGTCTCACAAGTCTATTATCTCGATGTGGTCCCTAAGAGAATCTCTATTCCCTGGTTTGTCAACCAGATGATTTCTAACAAATGAATTGCCACTGCAGCATATTTAGCAAGGAAGAGCTCCGAACTTGCAGTATTTCATTATATCAAAGAAATGACCAACACCCCTTGGTCAGTAAACTCTATCACTATCACATGCATCACAGTTAGGACTCCATGGCTCATGCTACTGAATTTAGAAGTGTCATTCCTGTGCAATATCTGACATTCACTAGCACAATCCATTTAAAAAAATATATGCTGTTGATCAAGCCAAACCTCAGCTTTCTTCCCTCTTGAAGTAATTGGCTGTGACTCATCCATTTGCACAGGACACGATAAAATGCTGTCTGTGTTTTGAAGAAATTAAGTGCCTGATTTAATCCACGTGTCTTCCTTTGGAGATTTAATTATTCATTTCTCCATGAGAGCAAAAGGTTGGATGCCTTGGGTAATTTATAGCTGGGGGATTGTGGAAGAACATGGAGAGTAGGAGGAGAAAGAAGAGAACCAGGGGAGAAACTCTATTAAAAATAAAGTGAACTCAGGCAGGAAGGCAGAAAAGCTGGAGATGAAAAAGTCAACAAGTAGGAGGGAAAAGAGTCATTGCCCACAGTGAAGGCAGAGAAAGATGAGAACTAGAAGGAGACACTCAATAATGTCAGAGTAAAATGGAGAAAATAATAAAAAAAAGAGAGAAAGGGGAGAGAGAGTCCACGATAGGAACAGAAGAAAATCCTCACACCACCAAGCCTAGCGGAGCAGCAGTGACGGTACTTAATGCAGTCCAGCACTCATCTGGTCCCTCCACTTAGATATCATCTAGTTGCAAAGTCCAGATGTGATTGGATCAGATTCTCCTGACAGGTTATGAGCTACAGCATAGGTCTATAGTGTCTGTGGAATCCTCAGGCTCATGGGATTTCATTGTCATAGTTCTGTACGGCGTGTTCTGATTTCTGAGTTAGGAGAGGATAATGAGGGAATGGCCATATTGCTTTGAAAAAGAGCCTTTCTTTCCAGAAATGGAGCAGTCCAGAGTTTCAGGAGACCTAGAAAGTTTGCACCAGCATTTTTGAAACAGTCCAAAATGTACAGAACATCTGCTTTAAGAATTATGAGGACCTACATATCAATGAGAATGACTGGACAACACTGAGAACTCTTACATGGAAATAATAATATAACAACAGGCCTGGAGTGGAGGGGCCATATAAATGCTAGCACTTGCATTATTACTGGAAACACCTCCCCCTAACTCAGGTATAGTAAAAGTTCCTCTCTCCACCATAGTTTTGATATAACCTATAGTCATATAAAGGCCCATAGATTACAGCATCTCTGCAACTTTCTAAATTACTTCCCAGGATATTAAAAGTCTATTTGTAACCAATAATGGAAAGGGCAGACCACTCCAGAATTCAATTTTCAGTCATTCCAACAGCTGCTGTTATCCTAAACACAGAAACAAATTTTGCAGGCCAGCTTCAGCCCAAATAGTTCCATCTCCTCCCCACTGTAGAGACTGGTCTTCACACAGCTGAAGACGGTTAATGCTACAAGCAGCAACAAAAAGGGGACTCCTGAGAAATGGTCTACTTAAGGATTCAGTATCTAATATTCAGTTAGTTTTCCTTAGTCCTGGCTCTGCTATCTGGAAGCTATGTGATGTTGATCAAGCCCATAAATTTCTCTGTTCCTCGTTTTTCTTTATGTGAATAAAATGAAAGGGCTGGCCTAGAAGAGAGAAAAAGAGATATATTTTACAGATAAGAGTAGGTTCACGAATCCATTGGTAGTATTAATGTAACTAATGTACAGCCTCATATCTTTTGTTGTAGTCAAGAACCAGAGCTTCTTTTATTAGGTGCAATATGGAGAACATTTTTATAGGTATGGGAAAGACATTTTAGGTGGAATGCTCAGCATGGTCACAGGTATGAACATTTAAAAACTTAGATTGATGGCAACAAAGCGGCCAGATTTGGCAGGTACTTGAATGCCAGGCTGCAGTGTTAACATGATCTTGCAAGCAGCAGAGAAAGGTAGAAAGTTTTTGAGTCGGAGAGTGGCATAATGAAAATGCTGTTTCATGAGGGCTGAACTCTCTTATAATTGCCTGCTTCCATGATAATGACATTGATCCATTGAAGAGGGCAGAGCCCTTATGACTTCATCACCTCTTCTTAGGCCCCACCTCCCAACACTGTTGCATTGGGGATTAAGTTTCCAACACATGAACTTTGGGGGACAGATTCAAACCATAGCATTTAGCTAGATTGAGAAAGGAAGGACCTGGATGTAGATATCATGAGGCATTCTTTCTCTCTTTTCCCTCTCTACCACACCAGGAATTTTAAAGGCATAGAAATGCTAAAGTTTCCTACCCTTGAACCTCAAAGATCCCCTGATGATGCAGCTGCAGGCATCCTGGATAACAATCCATGAGCAAGACAAGAAAACCATGGCCAATTGCTGATCCCACGTGTGTACTAACTATCCTGTAAGGTAAGGGTTTCTTCCTTCAACCTTACCTCCTTAATTAGAATGACTACCAGAAAACTAATCTACAGGAACACATTTTAGCACCACTAAACAGCAGATTAATGAGCCAGTCTGTTCACACGAGCTTAAAAATGTTTTCCAGTTTGCCTCTAGCAATTTCTCTCTGAACATCAAGCCATGTAGGATGGATGCTGCGAATCCCCAGCTGTGACCCATTTTAACCCAGGTATTGAACGTGTTTGAGGAATTGGATTAACTGCCTTCACATGACAAGACAGGAAAGAAAACATTTTTCAGAGTTGCATTTTCTTAAGTGTTTCTGACCCACTGAGAAACTGTTCCTATTTATTCATCTCTCAAATTCATAGTGGGCATTTACTAGTGTTGGGTACTGAGGATACAGAAATGAAAAGATGGGTAAGGTTTTAGCCATTGAGATTTTATTTGTTCATTCTTTATTTGCTTCCTTATCCCATGATTATTGAGTACCTACTACATATTATGCTATTTTTCACCACAGAATAGTCTAGGCTGTTTAAAACTAGCTATTGTATACCATTTTGGATTATGGAACGATAGTAGTAAACAGGTCCTATCTCTAGCTTATATTATAATGAGTGAAAACAAAATTACCGGATGATGAGAAATGCTATGCAGCTAATTAACACAGAGTCACATGCTTAAGAGGGACTGTGATTACTTTAGAATGGGTGGGCAGGGGAGGCTAAGATTTGAGGGGCATGAAAGAGGCAGTTACATGATAATAAGGGGCAATAGTATTTCATACACAGAAAATAGCATTCCGGACAAAAGAAAGAACTAGTGCAGAGTAGTGTAATGCAGGGAAAAGTTTGGTATGTTTGAGGAGAAAAACGAAGGGCAGTGCACCCTCTGTCTCAGAAATCTCAATTATAGGTATTTATCCAAGGTAAAAAAAAAAAAAAAAAAAAAAAGATAGCCTCTGTACACAAATGTGTATGAATAGCAGCCTTATTTATAATATCCATCAAGTGGTGCAAGGACAAACTAACTGGGGATCATCCATGCCATGGAATACAATCTAGCAATTCAAAGGAATAAGCATGCAGTAACATAGATGAATCTCAAGAATACTATTTAGTGAATGAGCCTTATGCAAAAGAGAGTACATACTATATGTTTCCATTTATATGAAGTTCTAAAACAGGCAAAATAATTCTATGCTGGAAAAGAATCAGAAAGATTGTTGCAATATTAAGCTCTATTTCAATATATACTGATATAATTAAGGAGAAATGTATTGATGTCTGCAATTTGCTTTGAAATGCACCAAAATATATGATGGATTAATAGATAACAGGGTGGGTAGATGGAGAGATATATGATATGATAAAGCAATTGATTTAAAATTTTAGTGGTAGAACTGGCACTGGTTTAAAGGATTACTGTAAAATCCTTTAAACTTTTCACATTCAAATTTTTTTCATAGTAAAACTTTGGAAAAGAAAAGAAGGCTAGTGCAGCTAGAGCATACTAATGTGATGGAGACAAGTACTGGGCAAATAATTCACACAGGTAAATGCATTTTACTGCATGTTTTTCATTAAAAATGATTATTTCTTTTCCTCCATTCAATTGTTTATATGGTTTCTAGTTAATTAAATGATAAATCCTGTAGTCATTTAACATTTTCTTGATGCAGATTGATTTAGCAACAACATTCAATGTACATCTACTGTGCCCCTATACTGAAGGAAATAGGCAAAAAAAAAAAAGTCTGAGTCATTTATTCCTGCTAACAAGAAGCTTGCAAAAATAGTTGGGAAGATCGGACCAACTCATATGAACTAATCAGAGAACAAGATAGGATAGATAAAAAGATAATGCTATCATAAAAATGGGATTTAAGGAAGGAAGACCCTGTCAAGAATAATGCTGAATGGGCCCAGAAAGATAGACAAATTTGGATTCAGCTATAGAATTTAGATACTAAATGGAGGGAAGGTGTTATAAGTTCTCCCAGTCACAATGTGGTGCTTAACAAGTACTTACTATGTGCTAAGCTGTGCTAAGCACATTGCATTAATTTAACAAATATTTATGTTATCCCCAGGTGCTAGGAATAAAACAGAGCACAAAATTTCTTGACCTCATGATCTACTTGTGGGGAGAGGAAGTAACAGTCGATAAACAATAAATAATAAAATAAATAATAAATAAATAAAATATCAAATTTATTAGTTACTAGTAAACGTTAAGGACAAACAATAAAGCAAGGAAGAAGGCCATAAAGTGTTAAGGAAGAGACAAAATTTTAGAAAAGGGAAATTCTCATTGAGAAGAAAATTCTTGGGTAAAAAACCCAAAGGAATTAGAGAGCTGACAATTTGGGTATCATGAGAAAAGCATTGCAGGCAGACAGAATAAACAACTACAAAAGTCTTAAAACAGTAGCATTTTAAATACATTAAAGAGACATCAAAAAATGAATAATACAATGCACTATCATCACACCATTGCCCTTCAGCCTGAGCAATGGAGTGAGACCATGTTTCTTAAAAAAAAAAAAAAAGGAAGGAAAATGGATAATACATTATATCTCCCTTAATATCCACAATCGTCAATCGTGTGGGCTGTGTACTAGAATCAATCACATTTTACAGATGAGAAAACTAAGGCACAGAAATGTTAAGAAGCTTGCCTAGATCCACTCAGAACAAGCCCTCAACAAAACCAGTCAAGACCATGTCAAAACAAAGTTGTTTAAGTTGTTTTAATGTCCAATTTTGGTCTCTCTACTCTTCATATTGTAGATGCAAGAGTTACAAGGAGGGAAAAGGAGAAAGATCTGAATATTATCACTGATCAAAAAAGCAAGGCAAATTAAAGGAAATCCTGACTAACAAATGATTTCCTTTGCTGGCTAGAGAACAGAAGGTCAGCTAGGTCAACCAAAAGATTACTTTATTCGAACAGATGAGGATTATGAGTAATCTTAATTCAGAAGAACCAAAATAAAACACTTCCATGAAGGGGCAAAGAATAACTCTTACCCAAGTATGATGAGTACATAATGTCAGGAAGGTTGCTGTTTCAATCAATATATGACAAATGAAATGATAAAGGAAATCTGGCTGGCTACAAATGGACCATACAAATGCATCACAAAAAAACTCAAAGCCTGCTGTTATGGACTGTAAGAAATGCCAGGAGTCTTGTAATTGTGAGAGAGAGAGAGAGAAAGAAAGAGACAAAGAAAAAAGAGAAAGAAAGAAAGAAAGAAAGAAAGAAAGAAAGAAAGAAAGAAAGAAAGAAAGAAAGAAAGAAAATGAAGAGGAAGAGGAGAAAAAAAGAATTCCATCCATACTAAGTATTCGATTCAAAGCAACAATTCTTACAGATTCTTCATGTCTGCATGAGGTGAATAAAAGATGGCCCTTCAGCCTTTCTCTTTCTATCCACCCCACAAATAAGGAGAATATCCGGAGACTAAAGGGCTGAATTAAGGTCAAAATCCATATCCACTGAGTCCCTCCAAATTACAGTAGCTTTTTAAGCTTTGCTCAGTGTAATAAATCATTTGACATTAATTCTGGTAACCAATATACAACAAAATTTCTTTTCCAACTTCCCTAGATCAGCTGCTGTTGAGTAGGGGTTTTGTGTTTTTTTCCTATTTATGATCCTTTCCAAACATTTTTATTTTCCTTAACCAGGTTATGTTGTTCCCAGTGAGTCCCAGGCTCCTTTCCGAAGGATGATATCATCACAGACCCAGTAGCGCCAGCTAATAAAAATCTGTTAGGCTGCCAATCTTATCATCACCTCTGGCACCCACACCCACTATGGTGATAGCCCCCATGTCTGCTTACTTGAGTCCCCTTATGTGCCCCATTTATCATCTCAATAGTACACCATGGCATTCAGAATAATCTCAAAGGTCAAAGACCAATTGCTGCAGAGATGGAGATATTAAATTAAACCCATGTCTTGGCAGAAAGCCTCAGAAGAAGAAAAGGCCAGTGACAGGAACTAAGGCTCTCATTAATGTGTTGCTGACTTGTCACTTTTATGAAACTCTTGTAAGGAGTTGAACTCTGATTTCAAGAAGAATACAAGGCAGTGAAGTTCCAGAGGATTTTCTCTAATTTTTCTTGCCACATCTTACTCAAATACATTTCTTCTTTTTTCCCAAGTTTATCCAAAAAGGTAGCACTAAAAGAATGTGAAGAATGACAAGAAAGTCTTTATTAAGCATTTGTCTGCCTGAAGCATTGACACTTGTCCTCAGGAAGTTTGCAGTTTGTGAAAATATGACGCAGGATTTATGTGAGGAGGCGTGTTTCTGTTACATCTGCATCTACAGAAAATCAGTTGATGGTGTCCATTTGGACATTTCTGTTCTTGGTATAAAAAGCAAAAACAAAAACAAAAAACCCATGAGTCAATTCTTTTAAGAGTTATTTACATATCAAAGTGCATATTTAAACAAGTATCCTTTGTAATAAGTAAAAATTTAAATAGAAGAATGGATCAAAAAGCCAAACTTTGCCAAGCCTATCCCTTCTGATAGGCTGATGATCCCAATGAAGACAACAGCTGTCAGTTAAGTCCTTACTACTGAAAGTGTGGTCCTTAGATCAGCAGCCTCAGCATTACCTGGAACCTGAGTAGAAATGCAGAATCTCAGGCCCCATTCCAGACCTACTGAGTCAGAATTTGCATTTTAACAAGATCTCCAGATGATTCATATGCACTTTAGGGTACAAGAAAAACAGAGTTAAATGAATTAACTGTGAGTTCTGAATGAAACACATTGTCACAGACACAATCTGCTTGTTTGCTCATCATTGGCAGATATAAGCTGATATGGCTTGCGTATGCATTGAATGTACACACTACATTCATATGCATGTGAATTGACATGGATCACATAGATGACATCATGGCTGCCTCTTTAGCAAAACTATGCAGTTAAGGGGACAAGTGAGGGAGGACAGGGTTATTTGTCACAGAGAGGAACTCCTCAGCTTATTTTAGATGATGCTCTCTTTTCAGAGAGGCTTTAAGCTGTAGGTCTAATCAGCTTTTCCACAAAGCCCCCACCAGTCTACTCACCCTCTGCTGACCCCAGGACCTTGCCTAGATAATTTATTCCTGAGGAGCAGTCTAGTAGACCTCTGATGTCCTTCCTCTCATGATTCAGAGAGCAGGTGTGTGATGCCCTTGACAGCTGAGGGCCCTTCTCTCTCTACTACTTCTATGAAAAGCCATCTTCACCACCTGCTTCTGGGTGACAGACCTTCTGCTCACCCTGGCTCTACAATGGGTGAGGAGTCAGTGGGAGTAAGACCTCAACAAGCACACTGTCCTTGAATTATATTACACAAACCATCATAATGCCATCTTTTTAGTATGCTTCCTGAAGCAAATGATTAAATTAAAATTCAGCTGATGTCTCTCTTCTCCATCCAAGTTTATTGGGATCTGGGAAAGTAAAAAGTTACTTGATAGGAGGGAGCAATATAGATCCTGATTAAAAAGACAAGGCTGCTGACAGCTAGGGGCCATGGAAGCTGAGATGCTGAAACTTGCCGGCATCAGCATTTTAATTGCAAGATGGCATTCATCAGAAGATGCCCCCAAATTAACTAACCTGAAAGAGTAGAAGGGGAGAGCAATGCAGGGGCTGGCTGACCCTGATTAAATTGGATTTCATGATGGAAATGATGGTCTCCTCCTCTCTGAATGGCATCTCCCTCCTATCCTGCTCTCCACACCCTTCTGTCAGCATTGTCTCCAAGTTCTAAATGGCTTCAAAAAGGCAACAAAGCAGGTAAGTAATCTAAAATGAGCATCATTTAATTCTCTTCTGTGAAAATTACAAAAAAAAATAGATACTTTAAAAAATCCATTCTATATCTATGTCTATATAAAATGTATCTTCTGATTATAACACACCTAAGCAAAACAAAAGTGCATTTTTCGGTATATTTTTTAAATTTAGGAAAGCATATAGAGAAGAAAATCAAGATAACCCTTAAGCTCAGAGATAACTGATATTAATATTTTGGTGTATTAATTTCCAGTATAGGATGCATGTATGTCTGCATATGTGTGTATGTACATGTGGAGAGACAGAGACAGAAAGATGCAGACAACAATTTTCAGAAAGACAGAGAAATTTGGGATCATAATGGATATAGTTTTATATTCTGCTAAGTTTACTTAGCATTGTATTGTGAAGATTTTAACAATCTGATGAAAAAGGTTTTCACACTGACATTAAAAAAAAGCAAGAACTCAAGTTAAGCTAGCCTGTGAAACAGTATTAAGAAAGAAAATGAAACAATTTCCTGAACTAAAACATTCCTGATGGTTTACAGGAAATATGTTACCCTTAAAAAACTACAGCTACTGGTATAACCAACATCAAGAAATTTCAAATAGCCAGAGTTGGACATGAGCCACTATGGTTAAGCATTTGGAAACGAATGTAATAGCACATTCCCAGTGGAACTGCAAGACCATGAAGCTATTCTGAAGAAATCTCATGTTAGTATAGCCATTACCTCAAATCCTTTCTATAACTCAGAGGTAGAAAAAAAATAAAGGACCAACACCACTAGAATAGATTCTTTTGGGCTCACTTACATCCATTTTTCTCTCCTTCTGGGCGCAAAAGATAATTCCTCTTTTCCACCTTATTAGTGGACTACTGGGGCCATGTGACTAATTTCAGCCAATAAGATGTGACCAGAACTGATGTGTGGCTCTTCAATGACAGGTATAAAACAGAAACAGCACCCAGTTGCTCTCTGTGGTGACTATGAAGAAAGCCTTGTTTTGAAATGGCAAAGCCAAAGATCAAGGCAGTCTCTTGAACCACTCATACCAGAGGACAATTGCCCTGGAGAGCCACTCAATTATATTAAGCCACTGGGATTATCTGTCAAGTTAGCATGACCTATCCTATCCTAATAGTCACCAAAAAACAACAAAACAATGAATGTGCCATTTTTACATATATATATATATATATATATATATATACACACACACACACACACACACACACACACATATATGTTTATATTTCTATCATATATATATAATAGCTATAGGCTACTATACTTTACAAAAGGAAGACAACAATCTACTAACACATCCTTTTTCTCCATCTGTTCACCTGATTATACAGGATTGGTCAACATGTGTGAAGGGACCAAAAGCATGAGGGAGGGCAGAATTCAGGACCAGCTGACATTCATCTATTCAAGTGTTTACTAAGGACCTACCACAGGGAAACCACTTTGCAGGGGGTTTTCAGGATAAGGAAATTATAGTCATTCCCCAGTATTTTCAGGAGATTGGTTCCAGGACCCCCACATATACCCAAATCCACACATACCCAAGTTTCCCAGTGGGTCCTCTGGAACCTACGTATAAAAAAGACAGCCCTCCATATATGCAGGTTTTGCATCCTGCATTTAATTGAAAAAAAAAATCCACTTCTAAAAGCCCTCACAGTTCAAACCCATATTGTTCAAGGGTGAATTGTAATAAGAAACAGTCCTTGCCTCCTGGAAGTTTGAAGTCTAACAGAGAAAACAAAACATAATACTACAAAGATTAGGGTACTTTTAACAGCCGTATGACCCTGGGGAGGTTATTAACATCTCTGAGCTTCAACATCATCAGCTGTCAAATGGGCAGGAAAACAGCATCTTCCTTGCTGCAGTTCTGTGAGAATATAACATCCAGTACACCATCTGACAAAGAGTAATCACTCACTGATCTCAACGTATTGTTGTTGTTTTATTTACCTGCAGGGGATATTACCATTACTAACACAGAACTTGTTCCTCCTTCTATTTAAGGAAAGTGGCCCCTCACTGACTGTCAAAATATATGATATCATGGAAAAAGCATGGCTATGCAGGAGTCAATCCAGAGATGAAGAACCTGGACACACCACCATGGGCCATAGGACATCTGAAGAGTTCAGTTTCCTCATCAATAAAATTGAGATAATAATTTCTTCCTCTTAGGGTCATTGCGAAGAAATCAAGCATATAACTTGAAAATAGGAATCTTTCTTACTCCTCCCCCGCTTGCCTTAAGAAAAATGAACAGCATAGAAGAAGCAAAGCCTGTTTACAACTTAGGCTCTCTCTAAGTATCTACAGACTGTGACATTTTGAGAGAAGTTTACAGCATAACAAGCAAGATGTTTCCAAATCAGGTCTGCTGCATTCCTCTTCCAAAATCATACAACTCGAAATCTTCTGTTGCCTGAAACTATAAAATTGTGTTCATTGTTATCCACAATATTTCTTTAACCTGACATAAACCTTTCTTTCCATTTTTTTTTGTTGTTGTTCTCTGGGCTGAGCTGTTGTGTTAAAAAGTTGATTGAGAAATAAATTGCCTTGAGAAGCAATGAGCAATCAGAAGTAACTGGATTTCCAAGGTCACAATGGGGCATGACGTGCCCAGACCGCAAAGGGGCAGTGTGGAGCAGGATTTGTTATTTCACAATTAACTAGATGTGAGAAGACACCAACCTGATACTGTATTATCTCATTTGCTGCTGATTCAAGAATGGAATGATATCAAAAATGAGTTCTAAAAGAAACAGCACATCAGAGTTGGATGTAATTCCCCTGCTGAGAAGCTGAGCCTCTGCTATAATAAAAGCTCCTACAATGACAGCTGCTCATTTCTGCTGGTCCAGGGCTGTTATCCTTTATTTTTTGTTAATGATGACTGTGATGTGCTCGGCACCTCTACCAGGTGGATTTTTCTAGAATGTATGATCCATTCTTCTCTTGAAGAAATGAGGAAGAAGAGCTAAGAGTATGATGTTGTTCTAGTAACAGAAAACAGGGCAAGGGTCTTACAGAGTTCATGACTTGAAGCCCAAAATCTGGAAAAGTAATCATTTCCCTGTCTTCACTTCTTTTTGACCCCAGAAACCTAAGCATTTAGTTCAAAGATGAGACGTGACTCAAATTATCAAGTTTAATCTTCAAGGGACTGTTTTCTCCTATTCTCCAAGCAGCAACTCTGGAGTCAGACATGTCTGCATGCCAAGTAAGAGTACCCCTACTGACTCACTTTATGAACCTCACTGAATCCCCAACTCCATGCTTGCAAAATGAAGAAAACACGACGTAAGTATTAAATTGTTGGAAGTATTAAATGAGACGTGTGTGTGAAATGTTTGGCAGAGTTGCTGCACGTGTAAGTTGCACGTTGACTATCTCCACAATTTAAATGGTATGCCTTGGAGTTGTGCCATGTGAAACCTGCACAACCATACACAGCAGCCCTTTTTTTTTTTCATTCAACAGTTCATTCATTAAAACATTCACATGCTATGTTTCCAAGCACTGTATTCAACTTTCCTTAGTAAGCCTTAATGAATTATTCATCATAAATTTATTCTAAATCAATTCTTGGATTGCCATGACACCTGTCATGATTTTGTATTTTCTGTCTCACAGTCACTTGCTCATGTGTCACTTACCCAACACACCCACCATCATTGCCATATTCCAGGGTTTCTGTTCATCACTGCACCCGTCTTCCCTAAGCAATCAGCACAGAGTGTGGCACAAAGTTTGTTCACAATGGATAGCTCCAATTTGAATGGCACATTTCTTTGTTGGAGGCATGGCTGGAATACATTGTGCATGTAACCTCCTGGAAAGCAGGGGGTTTTGTCTCTGTTTTCACTGTGGAATTCCCAGTCCCTAGATCAGTGTCTGGTACACAGTAGGTGCTAATAAATGTGGAACGAATGAAAAGCTGGAGTCTTGAAGATGTTATATGGGAATGATTCAGTTTCTTGGAATATGACTTATTATTTCTTATTGAATGAGGATTGAATGAAGGTATACAAAATGAAAAAAATACCCACACCCAGTCTCGAGTGAAATGGAGTAAATATTAGGTGTAACAACCTAACTGTTGAAGAGTAATCTAAAAATATCAATTCTAGAGCAGACTTGGTATCTGTTTTATTTAAGGTTCATATGAAGATATTGTGTTGATAAAAATAATATCATTTATCAAGTACCTTCCATGTTTTGCAACTTCTAATACATTATTTCTAACCTTAATCACAATGCCATAATATAGCTATTATTCCTATTTTAAGGACAAGGAAACAAGCTCAGAGACCTTAAGCAACTCATCCATGCTTTACATGCAGGAAGTGACTGAGCTGGAATTTAAACAGGTTCATCTGGCCAGAAGCCCCATGATGTTTCCATATGAAGAAAAGAGTATATGTGCACATTTGTGCACATGGGCATGAATGTGCACAGACGTGTACATTTTACACTGTCAGCTATGGGTTCAGTCAGATATGCCCATAAATTCTTTTATGAAGAAGAGCTCCCTAAACTTCTAATGATTTTTTCCTGGTGGTTTTATTTAGCTCCAAAAACTTATGTTTTTTTTTCTTAAAAAAATCCCATAAAAATATTCATTATCAATACATCATATTGATGATATCACTCAAGAAGGAGATGTCTCACTCTAAGCATTATTATAAAAATTCACAGGCAGTCCACTTTTCTAGAAAAATATGCCAGTGATCCTTCTAGCCTTTTGCATCCTGGGATTATTAAACCAGGCTGCTGAGCAGCCTTAAAACCTGCTCTGTGACCAATGCTCCGGGCTGTTTATTTTGGCCTATAACTCTCAAAGTTGATGGGCCCTGCCCTCAGGAGGGAGGGTATGCACACAGAATGCAGTGGGTCACTGCGGAGCTGCCCACATCCTCTTACCTAATAGAAGGTGGACTTCAGCAGAATGCCTGTCTGGAGTCAGAGGTAAGAGCTGGCACTGGGTCACATGGCTGCTCTGTCTCTGTCTGTGGCATATGTCAGGGTCTGCAGGGTGTTTTATTAAAGGAAAAAAATGCAATAGCTTCAAGGCACTAGCTCTCTTTCCCACAAAGCCTTGGTCTATGTGGAGTCAAGATCCCTGAGGAACCTCTGCTCCTGGGGGAGGGGAGGTCCTGTTCTGTAAGCCTCCAGAGCTCATCACAGCCTGTCCCCATCCCTCCATGCTTGTTAAACACCCAGCATGGTTTTCAGAGGCCATGTTGATGCCATATGTTCATACCACTGAAGCATTTTACTGCCTAAGAAGAGGCACTTAGCACAGGGAAGAGCACATTGTTTTCATAGCTGGTTGGCTCTTAATACTTCCCCAGGAAGCTCCAGGTTCAAAGAGAGGGTGTCTGAGAAATTTGGGAAGATGCCAGCAAGGTGAAGGTTTTCAATGACACACTCCAGGATGTCAGTCAGGCAGGGAGAATGACCCAGGTCATTCATAACAGAATTTTTGTACAAAAGAGGAGAAAAAGAAGAGCCAGTGGAAAAAATTATGTATGCAGAGATTTCTTCTTTAGTGGCAGGTAAACATTTAGTTATGTAAGTAACTCTCACTTAATCAGGACTAATTTTGTCCCCTGGGGGTATTTGGCAAAGCCTGGAGATATTTTAAGTTGTTAACAACTGAGTTGGGAAAAGATGGGGAAGCTGCTATTAGGACCAAGTAAGTAAAGGTCAGGGATGCTACTAAACTTCCTATAATGCACAGGATAGCCACACAAATGATTCTAGGGCCCAAAATGTCAATCATGCTGAAGTTGAGAACCCTTGGGTTATGTTAACTCTAAACAGATAAGGAAGTGCCCTCTTTGCCTGCAGCCTCATTGCACTAGCAATTAAATTAGCCACATTCAAGGTAGTATAGGGAGGCATGGGGCGTGTCTTTGAAAAGTACTATCACCTGGCTATAAGTTCCGAGTTTAAATCTTAGGTGCAGAACTTTCTAGCTCTATGGCCTTGGGCAGATTGCCTAACTTCAGTGAATCTCAGTTTCCTCTTTGGCCAAATGCAGACAGAACCAGCTACACCTAACCTGGCGTGAAGTTTAAATTACATGGGATGACAAGAAAGCATTTAGCACCCTCTCTACACACAGCTACAAATAACCAAGCACTGATTATTATGGTCCAACAAAGTGGGAGGAAAAACGAACAAAATATGGTTTTTAAGAGAAATCTACCAAACGCTTCAATAATCTGAGGAAATTTTAGCTTGAGTTTGACAGAAATCTCAAGAATGCTGAGTCGTGGCCTCTTTCTTTAGAGGGTTCCTTGACTCCTGCAATGTGAGCCTCACCATCATGTACTCACAGCTCACAGGGCACCTAATTGACATTTATTATTGTTGCTTTGCTCAGCCTGGGTATCTGGACACTTGTGTCCAGGTCCCCATTTTCAGTGGCCAGGCATAACCCCAGTGATGGCCCGGTCAGGGAGAAAAGATTGTCGATACATGATACTTAGGCAAATGTTCTCACAGTGCATGTAGTCAGAGGGGCCGTGACTCTCTTCATTGCTCCAAAGCTGAGCAAAATCAGGCCAGACATAGCCACATCTGCCTTTGGTCTGACACCCCTCCTCCCACTTTATAGCCAATATCTGCCTTAATGCTGTTACTTCTAGTTGTTAGAGTCCTGTCCTTAGGGGAACTCAAGAGCTCCCTTTTTTCCAAACCCCAAGAACTTCCTGGCACATGGCTTTTCCTGATAGCTTCAAAGGCACCCCAGTAGGGGAGCACCACACAGCATGAAGACAGCTGCTTACCCAACCTGCACAGACTGTCTCAAAGGACCTCCAAATTAAAGCTCCAAGGCTAGAAAATAGCTTGGAAACCATCTCCTCTGTTTTTCTTAGCTGGGGAAACTGAAGCTCAGAAACGGGAAGGGATAGGCCTGCTGCTAGCCCATAGGGCGACTTTGTGCAAATTAGCAAAGTCACCCTACATGGATGGAGGCACTCTTGAGCCAAAGTGAACAGCCTGCTGAGAAGAAGAGTCCCAGAGCTCAGGCCCACAGTAGATAGATCCCTTGTGCTTTAGAAAGGGGTTTGCTCAAAATCACAAAAACGAGTTGGCAGAGAACTGGGATCAGATTGACAACCTCTTTGCACAGACAGGATTAACTACATATGGAAAACAAGTAGCTCCTGAGCTCTTGCACAGGATTCCTTGTAAAAAAGCTTGGATTTCACACTCCGTTGCTAAGTTTTCCTTGTGGCCCTTTTAATGATGGAAAGGGAATGGCAAACAATTGCCACATGTACATTCCTTAGAGACATTTCACACATAGCTGGTGGCCCAGAAAAACCTAGTACCTGCAAAGAAATGAGGAGGCCCTAGTAGCTGGAGAAGGGGAAACCCTAATCGCCTAGTTCAGAATCATCATTTAAGAAAGCAAAGTCAAACCCCAAAAGACAGTTTTGTTCTGAAATTGTAAACAGCCAGCATAGAATAGCTATGAGAGAATAGGGCCTCATTTCAAAGCAACTCATAACATTTTTCACTACTGTAATACTGCATGTGACTTCTGTGATGAAATCATATTATGAAGGACAATTTCAATTGGGATTAGAAGAAACATATACCACAGCTTAAGCAACAGGAGCCTGTGTCAAAAGTGTTCCAGTTAACACATCATCCCCTTTGTTCTACAGGCAACCTTATTACTCTTATCTTATCCTTTCATATTCTGAATTTCCTTTTCTGTAGAACCTTGGTGATTTCTGCCCCCTGTATTGCCTTGGGAAGACTTCTTTCTGTTCCTTTATGGGACTGGCATGTCTAATCTTTAGGTCACAGGTCAGCAAACTTTTTCTATAAAGGGACAGATAGTACATTTTTTAGGCTTTGGGGCCCATATGGTCCCTGTCACAACTATTCAATTTTGCCATTGTAGCACAAAAGCAGCCACAGGCAATATATAAAATCATGGGTCTATACCCTTGTATTCCAGTAAAGCTTTCTTTTGCTTTTTCGTTTTTTTTTTTTTTTTAGACAGTCTCGCTCTGTCACCCAGGCCGGAGTTCAGTGGTGCGATCTCCGCTCACTGCAATCTCTGCCTCCCAGGTTTAGGAGATTCTCCTGCCTCAAACTCCTGAGTAGCTAGAATTACAGGCATGTGTCACGACACCTGGCTAATTTTTGTAATTTTAGTAGAGACGGTGTTTCACTATGTTGGCCAGGTTGGTCTCAAACTCCTGGCTTCAACTGATCTGACCACCTTGGCCTTCCAAAGTGCTAGGATTACAGGTGTGAGCCACTGCACCCAGCTAGCCTTCTTTATAAAAAGGTGGTACTAGATTTGGCTCCTTGGTCACAGTGTGCTGATCCTTGCTCTAGGTGGTACTGGGTGTGGGTGGGCAGAACCTGAGCTCAGCTTATAGACACAAGTTGTGAAAGCCACCAAGAGGCTCCTGGGCAAATAGAAATTAGCAGGTAAGATGGCAATGGTGGGAAGTCCTTCATCTGATTCTATCCTTGACATCATTAAGCTGACAAGAAAATTAAACTGAGAAGATTGATGTAATGCAGTAAGAAAAGGGACTTACCTGGAGCATGGATGCTTCATTCTAAGATATATCCGAACACTAGCTTCCATGGCATCTGTCTAAGTACTATGACATTAATAAACCAAGAGTCTGCTAGTCAGGTGGTCTCCTTTACATTTCTTCAGGATACTAAAAAGACAACCACCAAAGAGAAGGTCCTAATAACAGCGGCATATTTAAGAATTCATGTATCTTGGCTGGGCACAGTGGCTCATGCCTGTAATCCCAGCACTTTGGGAGGCTGAGGCGGGTGGATCAGCTGAGGTCAGGAGATCGAGACCAGCCTGGCCAACATGGTGAAACCCCATCTCTACTAAAAATACAAAAATTAGCCAGGCATAGGGGTGGACGCCTGTAATCCCAGCTACTCAGGAGGCTGAGGCAGGAGAATAACTTGGACCCCAGAGGCGGAGGTTGCAGTGAACCAAGATCACGCCATTGCACTCCAGCCTGGGTGACAGAGCAAGACTCCATCTCAAAAATAAAAGAAAATAAAAAGAATTCATGTATCTTGTATTTATTTAGGCAATTACATTGAGTTAAACCTGAATAACCGGAAGTTTTATTTTGTTTTTGTTGTTGTTGTTTTTAGGAGTGAATAAAACACAAGGAAGATTTCTCAGAGGGCTAGGGTCTGGAAGACATTACATTGACCACATGCTTTACCCTTTATTGGGAACAGGAAACCTCTGCTCATCCGTAACCAATAGACAGCAGCAGGAAGTCATGATGATATATCTTCAGACATCACAACTCTTCATTTGCTAATTATCAGAACCCAAGGTCAACTTTTTTTCATAATTAAAAAATGTTCAGTTCCCCAGATTAGACCATAATTCCTCCAAAGTAAAGATGGCATTTTATACTTCTTCATATTATTACATCCTTGCCTAGTATTTTAGAATAATATAATAATTGCTAACATTTTGGGAATAATTATTCAGTGCCAGGCACTATTCAAAATGTTTTAAGTCCCTTCTCATTTAATAACCTCACAACAACCTATGAGCTGGGAACTCGTATTATTATTATTCCATATTGACAAATAGTGGCACTGGGACACAAAGAGTTTGTATATCTTGCCCAAAACAATGCAGCTAGAGGTGGTGGATCCCAGATTTGCACTCAGGCATCCCAGCCCTAGAGCCTGTGGTCCTAACTTCTGTATAATGCTGCTTACGATAATGCAACCAATATAGGTGATCAATAAGTATTTGGGGTTGTCAGTAGTGACTCTGAGAGGAGGGAAAAAAACAAACAAAGTCTGAGTTGAAGCTCAGCCAAATTGTGCATAATTATCAGTAAACTCCTCCTGCTCCACTCTCCCATGATGTAGAGAATGTTACCCTTTCTTGAGGGCTCCTAAACACAGCTAAGCTCTAAGAGTGGCAGCTGCCAGTGAAGAGTCTTGGAAGACATGTCTGCAGCTCTGTAAAGAAAGCCCCTCCTTCAATAGCTGCAGGCTGGAAGGCCCTGGGAATATACCTACAGCCAGGAATGGAGCACCCTCTCAGAGCCTTCCCTAAGGGGACATGGGTAGAACAAATGACCCCTGGGCCAGCCTACTCCTCCCCCCGAATGCTCCTCCCACCCCCACTCCTCATCTCTCTCTCTCCAAGATCCTGTTTCTGAGAAGGGCAGGGAACAAGCACCCTGACTTTCCTAGTGACCGAGGTAAGGGCTAGGGTCGCCTGAGGAGGAGGAGGGAAAGAAAGAGGCACCATCAAGCTTGGGCTAGAAATTATGACTTTGTTCATTAGACCACTTGATTTTTTCCTCCTCAGTATCCAGATTATTTCCATTTTACTTTTTCTTTCTTTTTCCGTTAAAATGTTTTAAATTCTATACACTATTTTAATCTCTCTCTTTGTTCTTTTTAACATTGACATTTGGGAGTAGAAAATGTAGTCTAATTATAGTTTTAATTGCATTCCATGGTGTATATAAGGAGGGTTATATTTCTATTGTCTTCTAATATATTGTGTTCTTGGCTTCTGTCATTCAAAAAATAGTTATTTAATGTTTTTGAGCAATAGGATAGCTTTTAATTATTTTAGTATTATATACTTCCAAAGTCATTGTATCATGTTAGGAGAAAGTCGTGTGGAAAAAAATTGACTTTTGTTTAACCAAGAATATTTTAAAATGGATCCTATTATTTTTGTAAAATATCTCTGTATTCTTAAAATTAATTTTATCTCTTATTTTTAAAGCTTTTTAAACTTCTGTTAAATCACTTCCAATGAAATATGGAACAAAACTGTTTGATTTATTCTGCTGCTCAAATATATAATTTATTTATCATTGCATTCTTTGCCTAACATATTTTTATAATAGGTTACAAAGATTCTCTGCATCTAATTATTTCAGAGTCAAAGAAGTTATACTCTGATCCTGGTTTATCTTTAATCTGCTGCAAAGATAATTTGGCTCAAATTATTGCACATCTCTGGGCTTAGGTTTTTCTTATTTATTGGCTCAAATTATTGCACATCTCTGGGCTTAGGTTTTTCTTATTTATAACACAGAGAGTTAAATAAAATAATATCAAAATTTCCTTTTGACAACAGCATTCTAGGAGAGCTTACAGTGAGGCTTACATTTACCAGCAGGCATATCTTCCCCCTTCCTTTCTGCTAGAAGGTAACCCTTTCAACCAAGTTTCACCTGATAAAAGAAGGGAAGGAAAGCTCCAATAGACTCTAAGAATCAACTGCTGTCCTTAGAAGGAAAAAGAGTCCTCTCTTCTAATTCCTTAGACATACACACTCACACACACACACACCCAACACATATATCATATACGATATGATGTCAGAATGTAAACTTTTCAATAATCAGTCAAAACGTACCAATTAAGAAATGTGTATCCTAAGCAGCTGGCAAATATTTGATAAAAGGATTGTTTTCTTTACTCGAGGACAAAAATCAAAAGGCCACAAGCAGAGGGACCTCAACAACCTATATCTCCCAAGCAATGCTGCTGATGAGGCTAAGCCATTGAAGGGATCAAATGGAACAATCACAGAGAAATGCCAGCCTCAGAGGGAATAAACAGAATCTTCAACTTCTACAGCTAGGCTGAAAACACAGCATCTCAGCTGGATTTTATGCAAGTCATTTCCATAAAAGATTCAGACATAAACCAAGAATTGGGGCTTCTCAGACACCTGAAAATATCCCCCATGGATTGGGGATATTGAAACTATATGATTTGAATTGGTTTCAGCTTATAACCATACATTTGCTATGAAAACATCCAAAAACACAGGTGAAATAAATGTACATATCAATGAGTAAGAAAATTGGAGACTTTTCCAGACTATATAATTGGACCATGTAAAAGACAAGATAACTTCTAAGATTCTTTCAATCCTGAGCTGTGCAATACAAATAAAGCAAAAATTCACTAGCACGCCACGTATTACACCCTGGATTGAACTCAATCATACTAGACCACTTAACCTAGGAATTCCAAACGAAATTCTTGACTCCCAGGCTCTCTGAGATATCCATTGTGTCAGACCATTAGCCTCAGAAGCATGCTTTGGCTTACCCTAGATCTTACAAAAATCAAAGTTTGGAATTTCAACCACCGATCTAGGACTTATATTTCAACATTCTCTCTTCAACTTAGCTTTCCACTGTCAGCAGGTTTTTGCCTGCAACATAAAGTGACCAATCTACTGATCAAGAATGGGTCTGAGATAGACTAGATGGCTCCCCTGAGCCCATCACCAGCTGAAGAGAAATGGCATTTGGGGGACACTGAAGAGGAGATGGCAGTGTCCAGGAGTGAAGAAGTCAGAGGAACCCTGAGAGAGAAAAACAGGTTCTCCTAGAACTTTACCTTGAAAAACTGGGGTAACAAAAATAAAGACCACTGCACTTTTACTTACATCAATTCCTGGATTGAAATTTTCTCTCCTCTTTGAATATTAAAATCCTATTTGGAAACCTAGTTTACTCTCCTTCTCTATAAGTCTTTCTCAAACCCACCCATCTCACAAATTGGTCCGTTCTCAGGACTCAAAAGGCTTCTCCTTCATCCATCTAGCAGTCATATTCACACTGTCTTGCATCATCTCACATTCCTGTTTGGTGACATCATGTAACTATAACACTATTATCGCCTTTTCACATGTGTGTACCTCAATTCTTAAATTTAATTTTAACCTTCCTCAGAGTGAAGTCCATCACTATTTTAGATTTTTTTCTCTAAGGCAGCAAATTGCATGTGGTAGGTGTTCAATATATGCTAGCCGATCACATGACTAAAGAAGGCAAGCAAAGAAGAAAGAAGGAGCTGGGGAAAGGTAATGCAGGACAAAAATGTCCCTCGGTAGCCAGAAGGTAGACCTGTTGTGAAGGAAAAGTAATCAAAATTCCACACAAGCTAATAAGAAACAGTACATGGTAAACAACTGAAAATGTCTGTTGAATTGAAGAAAGGCGGTAAGGAATGAGCAGATGGATATAAAGGAAGAAAAGACGAAAGGAAATGATAAAAGAGAAGAAAGTGGAGACGAGAAGGGAGGAGTGAGAGAAGATGGGAGAAGGGAAGAAAGAGAAGGAGAGAAGAATAGAAGGAAGGAAGGATGGAAAGGAAAATGGAAGGAAAGATTAAAAAGGAGTGGAAGAAAGGATGAAAAGAAGAGTAGGGAGAATGGAAAAAAAGAGGAAAAGAAGGAATAAAGGACAAGTCTTACCCTTGTATTTCTGGATCTTCCATTTTTATATACTTGTTCCCTTTCTATTTCCAAAATAGCTCTTGGTGTCTTAGAGGGCACCCGGCACCTAGTTCCAGGCTCGTTGATGCACCTACATAAAGCTGTATGTGAACCACATTCACTCTGATTTTGTGCTTCACTGGCCAGCAAACACCATCTCCTGAAAGTACAGCACCACCGATCCTGGGAAGTCAGCCCCAGAAAAGCTGCATTTCAAGGCTCAGGGTGTAGAACTCAAGGACATTTGGGCAAAAGCCTGGGATGTCACTGGCTCTCCAACAGGAGTTATAGCGGGAGGCCTTCTCCTCTTATTAGTGCCAAGGCATCACATGACATGCTCAGCCCACCGGCTTCCTGGGCAGCCCATCAGGGAATCAGGGCTCAGAGGCTCCACGGGGTGGGGGCAGGGGAGAATCTTTGAGGATACTCATTGGCACACAGCCATGCCTCCCTCACTGCCAACTCCCTGAGGCGCTGCTATCACTCCTCCTCCACCCACCCCTAAAGACCCAGATGCTCAACTCAGAGTGTGCCCCCAGACAACACAGGAAGGTTGGATGCCCAAATCTTGGCAAATGTACAACTCTTTGTGGCAATCCTAAAAAAGAGCCTACCCAAGACGTCTCCATTTGCTCCCTTTTCCCTCTAACAGAAATGCCATAGTGTGTGAGTGTTAATGTATATATTTTTAAAAAAGAATTTTGCCACATAGAAGACATCTATTGCTGAGACCAAGAAGGAGTTCTTGATGGGAAAAGAAGGTGTATGCTTTAGGGATGTCCATAAACCCCCAAAATCAGATGCACACAATTATGTGGGCTTGATTTTTCTGGTTAGAGAGTCCATAGTTTTTAGCAGTTTCTCCAAGGGAACTGTGGCATGAACAATATTTTAAAACTACTATCCTGTACTCCTGAGGAGAAGCAAAGCAAGTTGTCAGGGGTTTGCTAATCAGGAAAAGAGTGATTGATTGATTAATTTGCCAACTGAGTTTCATGAAAATGCATTTTCTAGAATTAACCTATTTTGCTAAAATGACAACTGAATTTTGAAGTAGGGACTTTCTTCCCCTAGCACCCCTCATCTTTATGTCTATCTGTCTGTGTCCACCAGCTCTACAGCCTGTGTCTGCTAGGAAAGACCATTTAAACTTGTAACACTTCATTAAGCACATTTCCACCACCATCACAACTCTCTACATTAAAGCAAACCAGTTCCAAATGGGCAAGCCTTGGAAATGCTCTCATATCTGCCTATCCAAACTCATGCTGCAGAAATAAAATGGGCAGCTTTAGAGGAGATTATGGCTTTAATATACCACATCATTGTCATGAAATTGAAAATATCACTGAAAGAATAACCAGGGATATACATGAAATATTTAAGCATGCCCTAATATAGCACTGCTGGGACCTGAAGAGTGATTCGATTGCTACAGAATAAAATGAAGCTTAGGAAAATTAGGGCGATGCACTTGAGCAACCACCAAAACGTGAAATAATGGGAAACTCTGCTTTATCAAGAACTTTTTAAAAAGCTGTTTGCAGACTCTGCAGCTGTTAATCACTCTTCACATATGGCATGGCTGTCACCTTTATGAATCATGTTTTAACTTGAAAAGATTTCCTTTATTACCTTTCCATTTTCACATTCCTAAGGAGTTGTGAAGCAAACAAAAAAAAAATAGGAAAAGCTCTGAAGTTCTCAAAGCCAGGAACAATATTTACAAATAAAACAAGCAAGAAAGCAAGTTGAAGTTTTAAATTATGTCCAATTTTGTGAGACCAAATATTAGCATCTTCACTTCCAAGCTACAGAAACAGTCTCATTTCTTATTAAAAAAAAAACTTCTACACTAAGACTTTACCTTGATTGCACATGAAATCTAAGCCCACCTTGGTGAGTAAGAGAAACAGTCATACAGCTATTGTTTTAAAGTTTAAATCAATTTGATTCAAATTAATAGGTACAGTATTGCATAAATCTGTGACAAAATGCATCTGAAAAATAAATTTGATGAATGATGACATATATTATTGAGACATATAAAGATCTACATATACAGGAATAGGAAAGGTTTACAATCATATAATTTGTCCATTTACTTTTAAAAACAGAATAATAAAGGCAACTGATAAAAAAAAATTCAGCATTCAGGAAAATTCAGCATAATGCTCTCCCTTGACCCAATGATGCCACTTTACTGAAATGCAATATTAGCCAAATTCATGCTTTTGATTTGCAGATCAAAAAGCAATCCCTCTGCTTTTTGTTTTTGAGTAATGGTTCTCAAAAGTTCTAATAAGAATTAGAACTGTCAGAAACAAAAAGTCTAAAAAGGAACAAAGGCTGCCCTTCAGCCAAGAGGACCAGATAAAGTCTATTTATGCAACATTCCTGTGTCTATCTGTCTGTCCGTGCCCACTAGCCCTACAGCCTGTGTCTGCTGGGAAAGGCCATTTAAACTTGTGACGCTCATTAAGGACATTCTCACCACCATCATGGATCTCTAAATTAAAGTCAAACCGATTCCAAATTGGAACTTAAAGGTACAAGAGTCAGAACGCGGCACAAATTGCATCATGCCAGTGTCAGTCCCATCCTGTTCCTCTTACCCTTCTCTTCCCAAATGGAAAAAAGTGACCCGTCCTGCACATGGGAGACAAGAGCTTGTGAAGGGCTTTCCCCCTCCTCAGCCCCAGGTTGTTCACTGCCTGCCTGCTTTCAGCCATCCCATCCTGCCATAGAGAGTAAGTCACTTACCACAGATGGGAGGCAGGCAGGGCTGCTCCGTCTGAATCCCAGCACTCTGAAGGCTGGAGTGCCTGAGAGGAAAACTCTGGGTACAGCCTGGGATTCTGATGTGGAGGCTGAGGCTGGGGCTCTGCTCACACCTTAGCAGAGACAGCGTGCCTCCCTCTAAAATGTCTAAATTAATAAATGATAACCCCATGGTCAAATCTGTGGAGCTGAGCTGAGAGAAACTCCGGCTGTCTTCTCAGGAAAGGGGGACTGTGGGAACTCCAGTTCCTGAAGGGTGGCATAGTATATGCTTTGAATTGGGAGTCAGCTACCTTAATCATATCATAAAGCATGAACATTTCTTTCAGGATCACATGTTTTACACTTTTTTTCCCTGGGGGATGGAAGGAGGACAATAAGAGCTAGATGATCACCATCATCTCCACCCCTCCAAGTAATTCATCCATAGCTCTCCAACTCCCTAAAGAGTAATTTTGGAAACCAGTGGAAGTGTGATTTTCACCTATGATTTTGGTACATGAGTGAAGGCACTCACAGCAGGTCATCACAGGACACTGTTAACCCTAGCCCCGCACAGCTGGAACATGCCCAAAATTGCACCCGCACACGAGGAAGTCTCAAATGTTGCTGAACACAAACAATAAACAGTATGTTCTTCAACCCCACTTCCATAAGCCAACTCAAAACAAGCACAAAGCACAACTTTGATGCTCTCAACTCTTAAATCCCCTTTTTTCTCTCCAGGTAAGATTCTTGATAGCACTGTGACAGCAGATGGTCATGCTTTTTGTACCTGCCTGATAATTCCAGCTGATGCTAAATAAATCTGACTGATGGTGATTCAAGAGACTGTGGCTGTCACATTGGCACACTGGGATGCAGAGAATCAAAAGTGTTTACGTTTGCCTCATCACCTCTCTTGCTAATATTATGTAGAATGGTCATGCAAGAAGGATCCTTAGAGATTAAATAAAACACATTGATTTTATAAATGGGTAAATGGAACCCACACCATAAGTCATTCATCTAGAAATATATAATCATTCATGCCACAAGTACTTACTGTGTGCAAGATCCTCACAATGCATAGCAACAAAGTTCTACTACTTAGCTATTTGGCCCATAGTTCATATTTCAGAATAATAGTCCTTTGGATTTTTTGAACCCTATATATGTTTCCTATGTAGGTTCCTGGAGATGGCCAAATAAAAATATGCTCCAAATGCAGGGGTTGTCTAACTTTTTCTATCAGGAATCAGATAGTAGGCGGTGCACATCATGTGGTCGCTGTTTCAACTATTCAGCTCTGACATTATATGGTGAAAGAAGCTATGGACAACGACAGGTATGACAGTATTTCTACAAAACTTTATTTATGAAAAAAGTGTGCATACTGAAATTGACACATGTGCTACAGATTGCTGATCCCTGTTCTACTGGATCTCATTTGACAATGACCTTTTTTGGGCTGCAGACTTCAAGTTTGCCTTAATCAGATCTTAATTTACCTCAAACCTCCCCATTCATAGAAGTTAAAAATGTATGTATAAAGGAAAGAAATCACAGAACAAGGAGCTTAGGAAGTAAACTTTGTAACCACCTATTGGAAGTATTCACAAAACACAGGAAGGGAATCGGATTCACAAATAGAACTGTTTCTCTCCATCCAAGCAAAGTGGAATAGAAGTTTCGATCTAAGTAACCAAGAACCAGGCCTCCCAAATTGGATATTACCTCTTCTCCCCAGCATAGGGAAGATGATATTCCCATAGGATTAGGCAGGTCCCTATTATTCCACCCCATAGAAAATAACTGTCAACCATTTCTGCTGAAGACAGCAAGTCTATTTCCAGGCTGCTTAGCTTGACTGGCAAGTCAAATACAGGGCAGACATGGACATGTAGGATCAGAAGGCAGGTCTGGTCTTCCCTGAGCCCATTCCCTGGGCAGGGGTAGGTAAGTAAGGAACAAGGAGACCCACCTATCTTCCCTGTTTGTGCCTGCTTTAGAGAAAAGGAGTTCTTAAAAGCAGCCCTAGCAATCTGTGAAACCAACAGGGTTCATCATTCAGAGTGAGAATATGCATTGTTCCCATGGAACCATTGAGTCAAAATTTGAGAATTCTTGACAAGTAACTCACAACTTCTTAAAGAATAAGAAACTCAGGTAAAAGAGTTCCCAGGAGGTGGCCCCTCATGGGACAGCACAGATTCCTGCTTGATGTTGCATAAAAAAACAGGTACAACTTGCCGTACAATCACTGATGCTTGGACCTTCCTGCAAGTGCTTCTCTCCAGAAATGTATTTCCTGTACACAAAGATGCTATACAAAAAAAAAATAATAATAATAATAATCCATGCTGCCTGAGGTCAGCTGGCAGAGATGCTTCACAGTGAATTTCAGCTTCTACTAAAATGACAAATGATCATCTGCACTTTTTTGACTTGTTTGGTGGTGAGTTGTGCCTGATGTCAAACATCTGGATAAAAATTTTAAAAGTTGTTCAGCAAACCAGTGATTTAGATGTTTGGTGTCAAAAAGACCAAACAGTCAGACAACTATCTGATTCCCTGTTTTCTAACTTCTTATCCAAGGATCTGCTACATCCATATAATCACAGTAACCTTACTGCAGCAGCCCCCGTCATTCGCTTGTTTCCATAAAAATAAAAGGCAATCTGAGTTCATTGATCACCGATTGAGAACCACATGGAATTATGTCAGCTCCGATTCAGTTGAATTTACTCAGTTAAACTTAATGATGCTATAAAGCATTCAGAGTCAGCCAGAGCATCAAAGTGTCTGAACAACCACGGACCATTACACACCAAGATAAAATATCTATAGAACATCTCATTCCCATCAGACAACAAATTAAAATGAGGGGAAAGGGCTGTATTTCAGTCGTTAACCCATAATTCAGCTGCCAACATTATATAAAAGCCTCACGCACTCTAGTCCAATCGTTCATCTTTTTTCTCTTGCTTTAATGAGGCAGCAGAAGTGATCCCTCAGCCTGCTTTCTGGGGCTTCCTTTGCAGTGCCGTGTACCCAGAGAAACTCAAACACAATGCTGCTCACAAACTTTTATGAGCTGTTATCTTCACCTTCAGCTACATCCTTCAAGGGATAATAAAGCCACTACATCTTAGTTTGGTCCGTGATTGATACTTTAATTGTTGCTTTTTAAAATAAATAAAGATTTAAATATTTCAAAAGGCAATTGCAAAGCAGATCAGCCTTTTTTTTTTTTTTTTTTTTTTTTTTGAGACGGAGTCTCGCTCTGTCGCCCAGGCTGGAGTGCAGTGGCGGGATCTCGGCTCACTGCAAGCTCCGCCTCCCGGGTTCACGCCATTCTCCTGCCTCAGCCTCCCGAGTAGCTGGGACCACAAGCACCCGCCACTACGCCCGGCTAATTTTTTGTATTTTTAGTAGAGACGGGGTTTCACCGTTTTAGCCGGGATGGTCTCGATCTCCTGACCTCGTGATCCGCCCTCCTCGGCCTCCCAAAGTGCTGGGATTACAGGCGTGAGCCACCGCACCCGGCCCAGATCAGCCTTTTATTTAGCAAGTCACCATCACAAGACATACAGGCTAAGGCTTAAAAGAAGCCCTTGGGTTTAAAACAAATGTTTAGGAGGAGATGAGAAGTTTCTCATCTTTGATGGCTACAAAAATCATCAAAACAAATTCAGGTTCAGAGTCTAGAAAAGATGTTACTATTTGCAGCATGGGTCTGATACAGCAGTTCTTAACGGGTAAACTGCTTTGTTTTAATTTATAATACAGTAAATATTGATAGATTTAATACACGTGAACAAAAGCTCTTTGGGGTCTTCAGTAATTTTTTTTTTTTTTTTTTTGAGACACAGTCTTGCTCTGTTGCCCAGGCTAGAGTGCTGCAGCGCAATCTTGGCTCACTGCAACCTGTGCCTCCTACCTTCAAGAGATTCTCCTGCCTCAGCCACCTGAGTAGCTGGAATTACAGGCACACACCACCACGCCGGGCTAATTTTTGTATTTTTAGTAGAGATGGGGTTTCACCATGTTGGCCAGGCTAGTCTCGAACTCCTGACCTCAAGTGATCTGCCCACCTTGACCTCCCAAAGTGTTGGGATTACAGGTGTGAGCCATTGCGCCCAGCCCTGGGGTCTTCAATAGTTATTAAGAGTGTAAAGCACCCTGTGGATCAAAAGTTTGAGCACCTATGTTTTAGTGGAAGGACTGTACATTTTGGAGCAAAATGGTTTTTAAGGGTTTTATTTGTCTCCTCTGTCTCCCACTTGCTGTGTAATCACAGCCAATTTACTTGGCCTCTCTGGTCTTCCATTTTTTATATATCAGGCTAATCACCCTTATAATTATTTGCTCAAGCATGTCTTCCTTGCTGAAATATAATATCCAGAAGGTCAGGATTATGTCTGTTTCGTTCATCCCACATTACCAAAGTCTAGTACAGCACATTACATGATACATGATAGGGTCTCAATAAATAATCATAAATTGATTGACAGGGTGGCTGTGAGTCTTAAATAGAATAATGTGTATAAAGTGCCCCATGAGGTACCTGGCAGATGGCAAATGTCATAGGTGCTCAGTAAATGCCAGATCCCTTTCTTTACCACTAATGCTGTTCTCAGTGGTACCACACAGGAGACAAAATTCATGGCTTGTCTACATAAAGTAAATATTTAAGGCACTGGTTCCCAAAGTGTGGTGTCCAAACTAGTAGCATCAGTATCACCTTTAGAAGTTGTTAGAAATCAAATTATTTTACTCCTACCCTAGACCCACTGAGTTAGAAATTCCACAGGAAGGGCCCATCACTTCGGGTTTTAACAAGCCCTCCAGGAGATTCGGAGATTCTGACTCATCCTCAAGTTTGAGAACCATGGCTTGAAGATAATATTTTATGCCAGTAACATTTTAGACTTTCGTAACAGAGAGATACCCAATATGTTGTCTAATGCTGGCAGCCTAAGATCCTTTTGGGACAAGGGCAGGGGAAACAAAGTCAAATACAATAAATTTCTGCTGCTGGTCTTGTAGGGTGGAATGATTGATTTTGTATTCTGGTTGTGTTCCTGGGGCCAGTACTAAACGTACCTTTCATTTGAAATAAAGCTGGAACCATTAGAAACAGAGGAAGTTTTATCTTAGAGAAACTCCAGCATAACGCTTGAGTCACCTTTTGTGGCTGGGCATAAAATTTGTGAGTAGGAACAGAGAGAGAGGAGAGGAGGAAAGGGAGAAGAAGGGTAAATGATTCAGTAGCTATGAAAAGCATACATTTTGTTGCTGATATCTACCATACCTTCATAAACACACTTCTAATTTTCACAATTCCCCTGCAACACAGCAAACCATTACCATTAGGGTAATTAACTACTAATAAGCCTCTAGTTTGTGAGAGATGCCACCAGCAAATAAAGGTTGCAATTTGAGTAATTTCCAAGTGACAGCAAGCTTCACAGCCATCCTATAACATAGACACAATCATTATTCTCATTCTATATCTATGAAAACTGAGCTTCAACAGGTTAAGCAGAGCTGAAATTCAAACCTAGGAATTCCTGACTTAAAATTTATGCCATTCACCAATACACAATCTTACCTACCTACATACAACACACAGAATAGTCTTGCAAATATAGTGGAGCACATTTGAGGTGAGGACTGTGATTTAAAGTCAATGCGTAAAGTACAACACACACGTAGTCAAAATAATCCTTGAAAAATATTATAAATTTTTCATGAAGTACAATATATGTTGTATTACAGATACAACTATGTGCAGTAGTAATATGTCATACAACTTCATATATCAATTTGGATGATATGATAAAGTCAATAATCAAAATATAATAAGAATATTTTTAATAAATGAGAGCAGGCGTAGAATAGATTTTGAGTAAGTTAAAAGCATGCTTTGCCTGGATGCAGGATATTTGCTAAGGGAATGGAGATGCACCCAGAGTGACAGAGGGAGTATCCTATGTGCCAAAAAAGTTCTAGGTTCTCTGGAGTCATATCAAGAAGTGTGATATACAACTGCTACTTGGAAAAGCTTGCAACATGCTACAGACATGGTCATATCTATGAATAACCATGTTACAAGGCACACAATGCAGGGGCTGAAGCATAGCCAGGCCAGGAGAGGGTATGGTAAAGAGAATTAACTTCAACTTGGAGAATCCAAGCCCAAGAAGCAAAGATCTTATGAAGCATGGACTGGATAAATGTGCCCTGGTCTGAATTGGAATAGGGATACCCTAAATTTCATTCCTCTTCCTCCCAGTTGCCAGTGCTTTGACAACTGACCAAATTATTTATAAAACAGTACTATTAATATCTAACCCACAGAATATACACTTCTAGTGACTGTGTATGTATTTATATTTATATAATTAAATAATTTTATTTTTCTGCAAGATAAATGCATATTATCTGAAATAAATTAACATTACTTTTTAAAAGAAGTACTATATCCCACTTTAAATCTTCTCAGGATGGATGGAGAGCAAGGTTGGGAAAGTAGGAAAAAAACATTGAGTGCATACATACAGTGAGTCAAGGCCTCTCTTCTGCCTTATAGCCTTATATATATGGTTTAATCTCCATTTTTACAAATGAGGAAATAGGGACAGGTTTAGTAATTTCCCCAAAGCAAAACAGCTATTAAGTGCCAGAGCCAGCGTTCAAACTAAGTATGCTTACTTTTAAAGCTTAAGCCCTTATCATAACAAAACTTAACACATATTTGTCTTTATCAAACTGCATTGCAACCCTGTGATTTCTTGGCACATTTCCTGATATGAGTGAGGAAGAAAGAAACAGCTTATTTCATTCAGTCAACCAAAAGTTTTTGAGCAACTACTAGGTACCTAGCACTGTTTGGGGTTCAGTTGTGAGCAAGACAGAGAGAGTTCTGACCCCCTGAAGCATGAAGTGGAGAGGAGAGAGGAGTGTGGTGTGGCATGGGCCAGAGAAGAACCCCAGGCCCAGGAGTGAAGAAGCCTTTATTCTCACTGCTGTAACTAGGCCACCAACGAGCTTGAGCAAGTCACTTCACCTTGCTGAGTCTCTTTTTTCTTATCTGGAAAATGGGAGGGGTGTGCATAATTTTATGGGATTGCCAAGTTCTCACATTCTCTTATTCCATAAGAGGCATTTATTTTCCCATCTTTTTAAAATTAAATCAGGTTAGGAGCTATCATGAGTGTTATTAGTTGCCAAAAAATCAACTATTTCCACTCTTTTCCTCTTATCGTGCCTTTTCTCCAATACAATTCACAATCAGTCAAGTCACAGGACGTAAAGGCCACCAAGCAAAAGAAATCTGACAATGGCTTCTCGGGAGCTCTGCAGTCTACCTGGCCAGATAACGTTAACACACATGATCAAAGGTGTCCATCCCTAGTTTCACATTAGCACAATGTCAGGTGCAAAACTCCTTGACTTTTGCCACTGAAATTTATATCTCTGAGTTACCTGTTGAATCAACTGCTCCGAAGATAACAAAGACATCACCTCAGTCATCTTGCAATGCTAGTGGCTACTAACATCTTAAAAGCCTTCTTTGTCTTTAATGATAATGATAAAGTATTGTTTTGGGCCATTCTATTGCCCTTATTATTTTTCATTTTTATGGATATTTGTATGAAATACACCTTTCAATATTTTTAAAACAGAGTTCTTATTTAGATTGTTTCAGACCCATCACTTAATGGTAAAGGTTCTTGGTTATATTTCTATTACATTTCCTTCCAAATCATTTTCTGTTTAAATGAATTAAGTCAATGATTTAGGCATTTACTTCATGATATTGATGAAATTACTACATACAGGGCATGGTGCAAGTTGATTAGATTTTAGAATCTCTATTAGCGCTGTTAAGAATACATACAAACCAAAGTGCCTGCTGAATGAGATGCCACCCCCTCCACTTCTCCCTCAAAATTACCTTCTGTCCACCTGTTTCCTTGAAATACAGGGAGAGGAAAAACACCTTAGTATAACAGGACTTGTAAAGGACCACTTCCCAGGTCCTTTGAGACAAACCAAATATCTCCTTCTTTATCTCTTACCTAGCATCATTTGTTCATCTTTCTCCTCACACTTAACAGCACAATTTCAATGTTTCTTTTCACCAGTCTGCCTGTGCCTCAAGTTTTTATGTTTATCCCCAGTGCCTAGCACAGCTTTTGACATAAATGCTGTGACCAATTATTATTCAACAGATAGATGAATGAGACCCTTCTGCTGAGGGGGAAGGGGTAAGAGATGGGGGAAGGGATAAGAGATGGGAGAAGAGGCCCATTTAAAAATAAAATGGTGATAGCAAATAACAATCACAGTGAACCTGTGTTAAGCTCCTATTGTGTGCCAAGCATTGTATATATTATTGCTAACCTTTAACAAAAAGGAAAAATGGCGAAAGTAATTTTATTTTCTCTTCTTATAGATCTGCACTGTTTCAATAGGGTAGCCACTACCCACATAGGAGCATTAAGCACTTAAAATGTGGCAAATCTGAATTAAAATGTGCTGTAAGTATAAAAATACATGCTAGATTTCAAAGATTTAGTACTAGAAAAAAAAGAATGTAAAATATCTCAATAATCTCTATATCGATTACATGATTTTTTAAAATTTTGTGTTAAGTAAAATATATTCTTAATTTTTCTTTTTTTTTTTTTTAAAGGGTGAAGTTTGGGGAGAACTCCCAAGAGAATGGGCACAGGAAGTAGCATTTATCTACGCACTAAAATGCCAGACACTTTTAAACACCTCACATTTACAACAATTACTAGCCCCATTTTCCAGATCCTAATACTCGGGTTAAGTGATTCACCCAAATGCCTGGATCTTGAAAACTGTAGCCCAAATTTAAACAAGGTATTTCCGGATTCAGAGTTCTTCTGATAACAGGCCCAAGTGTAAGGAAACAAAGGGCGATCAGACCCCAGAAAGGCCTGTCACGAGGAGTTTTGAGAGTAGTCAGACTGTCCAGCCGCGGAGCAACCTAACCAGGCACTGGAAGACACCACCAGATGCTCAGGGCAAAACCTTTTGTCCCCTCTCCGCAGCGAGGCAATCCAGGCCGGAGAGTCAGATGCACCTGAGAAAACCAATATCCCCAGGGCATATCTTGGGGTTGGGTCAAACTCCATTCCTTATCCTAGAAGCCCTGCTTATGGGTCCCGGAGGTTGACTCTGCTAGTGCTCCGGCGCCCTCTAGCGATTGTCCATTCCAATGCCAGCTCTCTCTAGTCCGTCCTTCTAGACTCACCAGCTCCTAGGGCTTGCCCTGCCGTGGACCCCTGCCAGCCTGATTTTGCTCCTCCCCTACCTCAAGGTGCAATGAATTGCCCTACACTTGGATAAGAAAGAGGTCTTCTGGTCAATAAGCCTTAAACCTGAGCTTTCTAAAGTTAATCCGAAATACTGTATTTTCCCCCTGACATTTCCAAGGAGAAATTTCTCTAGTTTCCTAAGTAATAAGAAAAACAAAGTTAGAAATACTGTGTTCTGAGCCAAAGATGTAAAAGCAACATTTAAGAAAGTTTGTTCTTTTTGAATGACGCTTTAATTTAAAACAGAATAAAGGATTCCCCTGTGTGTTCCTGGAACTGTAAACACTCATAAACTCTCTTTGTTTACTTTATTGACTCAATTGTGACATTTAAAATAGAAAGCTAAGTCTATGCATGAGCAATTTTTTACAGAACATGCACATTAACAGAGATGGCTGCAGACAATGACTTTGTACAAATTCAATCACATTTATTGGGTAAATATTGCACTGGCTCCAAGAGACAGCAATGTAATAAGTCCCAAGCCTACTCCTCCTAACACTCTAATGGAGGTGGGAGACACCCCCGCAATCATCCCTAACTCATACTTAATAAAGATCAGCAGTGCACATGGTGCCAGAGATTGGCTCCACTGCTGTAATTATCTCCAGGGAACTTGAGTTTCTTTATGAGGGGAGTAATCAGAAGGGTTGTTGAATGAGTCTCCTGATTTTGAGAAGTCACTTATTTGAGCTTTAGTTTCCACATTTGTCAAATTAAATTGCTAGAGTCAGCAGATGATCCCCAAGCTCTCTTCCAGTTCTGAGAGTCATAGAACATGCACATTAACGGAGATGGCTGCAGACAATGACTTTGTACAAATTCAATCACATTTATTGGGTAAATATTGCACTGTTGAAAGTTGCTGATCACAGTTTAGAGATGAGTCCATCACAGATCAGCTTAAATGGGCTCCCCTTCCAGCCCTATGACTAAAATAATAGGACTGGAATAAACTTTCCCAAAGAAGGCATCCTTATCACTTTCTTATTTTTGAGACTTGCCTTCCAACCCTCAATATTTACTGAGCTAAAAGCTGATGGTTCCCAAGAGGGTTTCCAAAGAATACAGCAGACAAATAAAGGACTTCCCAGGATGTGCTGATTTAGGAGAAAATATATCCAATATATCACATATATTTAGTAGTTCATACAGCAAACAGAAAGCTCCCACATAACTGCAGTTTCTAGTACAGAAAAAGAAAACCTGAAAGTATATGTAGGCACTAATATGTTTTTATTATGCAGTCACAAGTTTAGGAGATATTCACTGAGTTTAACACTAATTGAGGCCTTACTATAGACTATTTCAAATAACATAGAAAAGATGATGCATCTTACCTGACCCATTTATTGTGCTTGATTTTTGGATTTACCATCAACTATCACATAAATACTTTATCCAAAAAATGGATGTGTAACCCCAACCTAAATTATTATCATAATGTGCTTCCCTGAAAAGAAAATATTATAAGATTTTGGGGACATCTTAAAAAGAATTAAAATCAGTAATCTATTCTTTGCCATCTACATTCAATCAGGAGAAAGGCAACTGTATTATTACATGTTGGAAGATCAGTTTTAATGCACCAAAGAATGGTCTTGAACTATGTGACATTTTATTTTGAATGCATTTAAATTTTTCTATTTTGATATTTTGTAAATCTAGTGTACTGGCTACTGTTGCCAAGGAAATATGACTTTGGGTTACTGAATGGATCTGCAAAGGTTTTTGTTTTTCTTTTAAAATATTAACAAGACAAAAATGGAAAGATCAAATATGGAACACAAATTTAGCCCTTTCTCTCTTCAAAGTGCACGGAATACAGATCTTCTTACACACCACTGATTAAAAAATACAAAGATGCATGAAGTGATTTTTCCCAACTAGTGTAGAGACTTTTACCCAATTAGCCAAGTTGATATCATCAGAGTACCTGTCTCATTCTTTGTTCTGGATTCAGACCACTCTGAAAATGTGTGGTATTGATTACACACAACACTGACGGCTCATCTTCAATAAGTTCATCTCTAAATGAAAAGATCCTTTCTTTATGTGGATAAAGGTAACATAATGTTCTAGGGTGTTACATTTCAAAGAATTTTCGAAGTGAAGTCAGAAGAAGGCATAGTGCAAACCTTATAAATGTGTTCAGTATTAATTCCAAAAGATTCAAATACATATGAGAATAAAGATTCCACCATTAACCCATTTTTTTTGGTCTGTGATTGTTTCTTATAGTCAGTATAACCTCAAGGTTTTAAGTCATAATAATGGGCTTGAATAATCTAATTATTTAAAAGAATCAAAGCTTTTTTCTATTGTTTTGGAATATTACATAAAACTTCTCTATAAACAGATAACATCTTTACTTCCTACTAACTGAAATGAGGTATTTTTAATTAGAAATACACAAGCAGATTAAGTATACTTTAGAACAAACACCTTTTAATTAAAACCTCTAAAACCAGAGTCCCCTTAAGACAAACCAATAATTCACCAAAATGTCATGTTGCTACTGGAGACTTGGAGATAAACAGGAAGTCTTTTAATTTCTTTTTACACTTAAGAAACAACTCAGAGCAACTATTTTCAAAGAAATATTTAGGAATTTTAGTAAAGCAACTATCTCAAACTGGGAAGTCACTGTACCGCATCTGTGCCTTCTCCCAGTCAAATATGCTGGGCCTGTGTCTGGGAGAATAAAAATAAGGTTGACCACTCACAGGAAAGGCATAAGTTTGATGGCCATGGGAGTTTTTACTTGTTAACACATAAGTAGAGGTTTGGTTCAATTATAGGCAATCTCTTCTCACACAATCATACAAAACTGCCCAGGATTAAACATCTACTATTGCTATAGACCAATATATCCTTTTATGTAATGTTAATGGAAAAGTCACCTCATTCTGATGTGTTTTGAGTTTGATCCTCTAAAACCATAAGAATCTTCCCATGAGAGATAGTTGAGAAAATGTTGGCCTTTATTAGTATGCACTATTAACACAGGTGTTCTGACTGCATTTTCCAACCCTCCCTCTATTTTATGCACCTCTCTACATGTGAGAACTTTTGACTAACTCTGAGTCCTGACCTGCCAGAGTGACTTTGTCAGTCTCTCTTTAAAAATGGGCAGGTGAATGAGTTCAGCCTAGAAGCAGCAGCTCGGTAAGGGAAATGAAAATATCAGAAGTTATCTAATCACAGCCATAGCCATGCTGAGCTTCATCTTATCTTTTGGTTAATAAAAAGAAATGGGACCTTCCGAAACTTGAAGGGCATCAAATTAAGTTTTTGCTTGCCTCTGGCTTTTTGGGGGATATGCTATGTGGTTTAACCAGCATATACTAACTACAAAAATTGACATGGATTCAAAACACCTGTGTCATAGGACGGTGGGTGTTTGTTTTTTTGTTTTGTTATAAAGCAGAAAATAAAACACAAAGGCCTTTGAGAACAGGGATTGTTAAGGGAATAGAAGAGTATGGAGAAAAGAACACTTTATTTGAAGTTAAGGTAATTGTGTACGCCTGTGTATGTGTGCGCGCGGGGGCGCGCGAATGAGCAGGATTTAGTTTCATTTAAAGATAACATATTAAAGTATCTTGGACAGCTCAAAAGTGCTGTTCAGGAAACAAAACCAAGTGAGCCAAGAAAAACCAGAACAGTGCTTTTAAAATCCCTGGCAAAGCAGCAAGAGGATGAAGAGTTGGTTTTGCATAGTTTTGAACACAGGGTGTAAAGGTGCTGAGGCATCTTTTCCCACAAGTCACTGAAATCCTGTGAGAGTGTGTGAGTGTGTGTGTGTGTCTGTGTGTGTGTGTGTGTGTGTGTAGAGGGAGAGGTTCTCAGATGTCTCTCTTGCAAAGCTTCCCAGAGCACTCTCGCTTCCCTAGCCCCCTCCCGCCTCACTCTGCTCACCTTTCCCCCCTCCACTTCCCAACCACCCACATCAAGCCCTTCATAGATTTGCGCCCCTTGGATCATCTCTGCCGCCTGTGACTTTCCCTGGAGCCTAGCAGGTTCTGGGGCTGAAAGGCAATCCGCCAAGGCGCCCTGGGGCGCCGTCAGATTTGGAACATAGAATGGGAAATAGGGCCTTAAAGCCCACCTACTCCAAGATGAAGGAGGAGCATTTTTCATCAGGGTTTAGCCTGCTCCTCACCGGATGGTAATCAGCACTCGCTTGACTTGGCGTGGACCACCTCCTAATTATCTCCATTGGATTCAGCCCTAACAGTTCTCGTGTGTCTGTGATACCACGCGGGGTCGTGATCTCCTTACTCAGCTGTGGCTTGGTTTCAGTGGTCCCTCCAGTCCCGTCCCCTGTCCCCGTCCCCCTTTCCTTCTGGCTACTTTATTCCATAGAGGAAGAAGCGCTGAAGGACTACGTTGAATCAAAGCACTTGCAAGCCTATTCATTAGTTTTTAACACTGAGAAGAGGCAACTAAAATATTATTAGAACCTCATTGTAAGAAGTGTGGGGGAGGAGGTTGAGAGGCTGAATCCAACCGCAGCCAGGTCAAGCCATTGGAAGGGACTACAATGTCCCACAGCTTTCTCACTGTCAGAGAGGAAGCTGCAACTTCAGCCAGAACTCCCTTCCCCTCCCCTTCCCCGATTTTGAAAACCGTACCCCTTCTTCCGCCTTCGGGACTTCCCTGACCTATCCCTCACCCGTGCCATGCTGTCCCCTCCCCTCCGCGGTCTTTCTCCCCAACTCCATTCGCCCCACCCCACCTGGGCGAGTTGGGTGGATGTCAGAAGGCGAGAGGTAGGGGATGGAAGTCCCTTCAGATTAAAGACGTTGCTTGCTGCTGCTTTTTAAAACAACAACAGCAATGACAAACGTGCAAAGGTGAGCGAGAACCAGTGCATCTCAAAAGTTGGTCTTGCTACGCAGCAGCTCCAACAGACTTTGCAATCACAGCGCCCCAGGAACACAGGAATGAAGAGTTGGCATTTACTTACCTGGGTGTGCCAATCTCGAAGAGTGGAGAGAGAATTCAGCCCGGGACGAGGTCTGTCCCGCCCCCAGGATGCAAAATCCGGCTTTGAAGTGGAGGTGGTTGGTGTGGTAGTTTTGTACTGATGTAAGGGGCGTCGCACCTCCTTCCCCTCTCGTCCTCCGAGGTCAGTTTAGCAACAGCGGCTGGGAAAGGTGCTGAGAGCAGAGTTCGGTCTCTCCGGAAACCCTGACTCCATTCTCGGTGATGGGGGTGGGGGAAGAGGGTGAAAATGTTGGAGATGTCAGGTCGGCTCTCAGTTAACTCGGAGAGTAAAGAGGAGGGTACTGAGAAAAGAGGGAGGGAGTGGAGTGGAGCGAGGGAGGAAGGAAAGGAGGGTGGCAGAAAGAGAAGGGGACGAGCGGGTGGCGGGGAGATGGCAGCTTCTCACAGAGAGATTTCCACCTTCTGACGAATCCCATGCACCCAGCAACCCGGCAAGAGACTGGTTCCGAAACCTCCGCGCGAGCGCCCCCTGGGGGTTGCTGACGGAGACGAGCATTGCCCCGGGAACCCGAGCTCAGGCCCCGCCCAGGCCTTGGCGGCGGCGCTCTCCGTGGTCCTGCCGCGCCCGCAGTCTGGGCTTTCTGCTCAGCTTTGTCGCTCAACTGAGCTCCTGGGGACACTTGATTTAGATCTCCAAGTGCTTGGTCTCCATCTCCACTCTAGGGTGGAGCGGTCGTATCGCGGCGCGGGTGTGGGGGGAATGGGAGTTACACTTTTTGGCACTCACCAAAGAAAACTTCTTAGATGGGTGCTTAACTGTCACCAAAAATGGTAAAGGTGTTGCTAATCTCTGGATCCTTCGTGTCTACAAAACTGTCTGGCGTATGGCAGGAGCCTGGAAATTATTTTTAGTAAGTAATGCATGAGTAAATTAATGGACAAAGAGTATTTTCTTCATCTCATGATGAGTTTCTGAATACATCTACCTCACAAATAAGATAAAGAAATACTTAGGGAGTACTTATGCTTAAAGATAGATATAAATATGCTGTCTTATGTAAGGGGTGACCACTTCCACATGTTTTAAAGCACTTTAGAGAGAAAGTATGGCCTTCCTATTTCAAACTTATTCAAATTCAGACAAATGAACTTATTCAAATACAGGGCATTGTTTCTGATTATGTCTGCTACCATAGACAAACTAGACAACTAAATTCTCTCTGCACATTGGTATTGTCAGACTCACAAATTGGACTTTGGAATTAATGAAGTAAAGTGAATGACGGTCTCTTTCTGACATTGGGATGGTATAGAGTGTGTTACATCTAACGTGGAGGGGAGATGGAAGGTCTTCCTTCTCACCCTATTAAGGGGCTATCTAACAAAGCCTCTCCAACCTGAAGGTTGGAGGAGATATTAGCCAAAATCTTTTCACTAACCATGAAGTTCTCAATTTCAAAGTCCAGAAAAGGAGAACCAATAGGGTAAGGAGGAAGACCCCCTCTTAATTGTTCTATAGAAGTAGACAGAAATATCTTTGATAAACAAAGGGACAACCTTCTGACAGAACACAAATAACATTTTTCTTCTTTCAGTCACCTCTAAAGCCTTTCTGAAATAGGATAACACTAAACATGGACCCTGGAAAGGACCTCAGGGAGCTTCTCTGTACACTGAAACTACCACAGAAATCCTTGGATTTGCTTTGATTGCAAAAACTTGGGTCACATGGCTATGCATAAGTCAATCGTTGTGACCTTTGGATATGGAATTACACTAATGGGCCAGGACTTCCACAATGTCTAGGAGCATGTGATGTCTTCTATAGCACTCCTGGAGCCAGGATGGAGCCCCACCTGATCTACACACATTGCGAGTGAGACACAGGGACAATTCTCCAAGGGATATTCAGGGTCCTCCTACCAGGAAAGGGGAGACGGATGCTAAGCAGGCAAAACCAGTGTATGACTACTAAATATGAAAATGTTAAGTCCAAAAACATTACTTCCAGGTTTTGTTAAGAGGTAGCCTCAGAGATAAACTCAAAATTTGAATTGGATTGAACTTGCAAAGATGAAGGAAGAAGAAGGAAAAGTCATTGTGCATTTCCTTGCATGTTAATTGTATCCTCTAAAATTTAATTTCTATGAAGGCAAGGGATATGTCTGTTTTGTCGTCTTGTTCATAATTATAACCCCAATGCCTAGAAAGGTGTCTACCACCTTCTACATTTATAAAATTAAAAATAATATAAATACCTTAGGGACCATTCAACATAAACTTCTTATATTACAGGTGAGAGAAAAGGAATTAAGATGTGCTGAGCATGTACTATTTCCAGGCAATCTGTTAGGCACTCTACTTACCATCCCATTTAATTTTTACAACAACCTGCCCAAGAAAGTTTTACTATATCTACAAAAATAAATCCAGGGTGTGGGCGGTTGAAATGACCAGACCAGGGAACACAACTAGTTAATGGGAGGATAGGGGTTGTTCATTGAAGCAGTCTCTAAAGGGGCAGCTAGAATAAGTGAACACATGGACCATAGAAAAGAAGTTATAGAGTCAATGCTCATAGGGAAAAAGAAAAACAACATAGTTATCTTTGGCCCTACATGTTAAAAGCATAGATACACAAACTAAACACAATGCCACAACTTGTGACAAATATGGTTTCCTTTGCCAGCAGGCTTCAGCTCCGTAATTAGAAACAAACAGTTGCCTGCATGCCAGTGCGCAGAAAACGTGCAGCTTTATGCCAGAAACTTGGAATTTTTTTCTGAAGGCATGACACTGAAGGTAAATTCAAAGAAGCTTTTTACAGGGCACATAAAGCAGAATTTACTTCCACCTCTTATATGAAATCAACAGCTCATCTGTACAAATGAAGATTTGTAACCAGCTAATAATCCATGTTTTCAATCACTGCCCCCACAGCAAGTTGCCCGCCAGCCACAGTCCCCTCAACAATTGTAACATCAAAATCCCCTTGTCTCTATCACTCACCTCCTCCCAGCTCTCCTTTTAATGGATTCTGAGCTGCTGGGTTCTACAGCCATGGTCAAATTTATCTAAAGCCAAGCCACAAAGTCACTGTGGCCCTGGTGTTCCCAAGTTGCAAAGGAAGCTTCAGCTCTGGGTAGATTCACTCGCCGGGTTTCTGTTTGATAAGATAAGAGGAGGCATCCGCTCAGTGTCTTATGCCAATATGAAAGGCATCTCACCCATCAGTGTGACAAGTGAAATCCTGGAATGAAGCCAGGGAACAAAAGGGAAGAAATGTGGATTCTTACCAATGCAGTTGATACCATTTTTTAAGGGGAGCAGATGATGAAGGGGAAAAACAGGCAGAGAGTCAGTGCCCTGCATCAAAAACCTTGGATCCTTCCCTGAATGAGTCAGGGTGAGCATTTAGTTTTGAAATGGAATTTCTGTTTCCTTTTATTTTCTTTCTTTTTTTTTTTTTTCTGTAAGAACTACTAAAGGAAACTGTTGTAAATAACAGGATATATTTTTGAGGCTGTGGATCATATAAGAACTTTGAATCTCACCCCAGGGCTATTTATAGCTCAAAAATTTGTTCTTTTTTTCTATTTCAAGTGATTTTTGAGAACTGACTGATATGTCTTCCTCTGGTGTTTCTGTATATGCCTGAGGTGTGATGTATTACTGGAAAGCAGAAAGGAACACTCTAAGAAAGCACTTTTTCTAAGATGCTAAGAGTCAAGGGAAAATGAACATACATGTTGCAAGCTGATGCAGGAATTAAATATTCCACTGTCTGTCATTCCTTTTTATGAGAACCCTATACCACCTGTGGTGCCTCTAACATTGGGTAACAACCTGTGCTACGAAAGGGCAGTTTATACTTCTGTCTACCAATAGGTGGCATCAAAATCTCTAGCTTTTCTTTCCTGTATTTTAAAAACCATAGGCAGAGGGCATTTTCTTTCTGAGATTTTACATTTTATCATGAGTGATGTTATAAAGGCCACTAAATAGCTCTGTATAATTTCAGAGCAGATTTTCCTATTGCTCTATTAATGAGGTCTCTCAGTTGTCCCTCTGAGCCTCAGTTTTCTCATTGTAAAAAGAAAGTATTTGGATTGAACTCCAGCTCCAAGATTCTGCTTTTTAACTACATAATATCTTCCCAGACACACCATTTTTCATGCCTATGATAAACCCATTAGCACTCCATTCCTCTGGGCTTAAGGAATATTAGCAAGCAAATATCCCTTGGTTGCAGAGGCTGTTATCTGCCCAGCCTATATTCATTTTTGTTTGTTTTTCCTTACTAAGAAAAACATAATTTTGTGGAGGGTAGCAACGTGTTTAGCTCCAAACCTTCATTTTC